>NC_000010.11:51355216-51506731 GCF_000001405.40 Homo sapiens | reverse complement strand
CCACAAGGGTTGAACTAGTTTACAGTCCCACCAACAGTGTAAAAGTGTCCCTATTTCTCCACATCCTCTCCAGCACCTGTTGTTTCCTGACTTTTTAATGATCACCATTCTAACTGGTGTGAGATGGTATCTCACTGTGGTTTTGATTTGCATTTCTCTGATAGCCAGTGATGATGAGCATTTTTTCATGTGTCTTTTGGCTGCATAAATGTCTTCTTTTGAGAAGTATCTGTTCATATCCTTTGCCCACTTGTTGATGGGGTTGTTTTCTTCTTGTAAATCTGTTTGAGTTCATTGTAGTTTCTGGATATTAGCCCTTTGTCAGATGAGTAGATTGCAAAAATTTTCTCCCATTCTGTAGGTTGCCTGTTCACTCTGATGGTAGTTTCTTTTGCTGTGCAGAAGCTCTTTAGTTTAATTAGATCCCATTTGTCAATTTTGGCTTTTGTTGCCATTGCTTTTGGTGTTTTAGACATGAAGTCCTTGCCCATGCCTATGTCCTGAATGGTATTGCCTAAGTTTTCTTCTAGGATTTTCATGGTTTTAGGTCTAACATTTAAGTCTTTAATCCATCTTGAATTAATTTTTGTATAAGGTGTAAGGAAGGGATCCAGTTTCAGCTTTCTACATATGGCTAGCCAGTTTTCCCAGCACCGTTTATTAACTAGGGAATCCTTTCCCCATTTCTTGTTTTTGTCAGGTTTGTCACATTCAAAAGCTAGCAGAAGGCAAGAAATAACCAAGATCAGAGCAGAACTGAAGGAAATAGAGACACAAAAAAACCCTTCAAAATATCAGTGAATCCAGGAGCTGGTTTTTTGAAAAGATCAACAAAATTGATAGACCGCTAGCAAGACTAATAAAGAAGAAAAGAGAGAAGAATCAAATAGACGCAATAAAAAATGATAAAGGGGATATCACTACCGATCCCACAGAAATACAAACTACCATCAGAGAATACTATAAACACCTCTATGCAAATAAACTAGAAATCTAGAAGAAATGGATAAATTCCTCGACACATGCACCCTCCCAAGACTAAACCAGGAAGAAGTTGAATCTCTGAATAGACCAATAACAGGCTCTGAAATTGAGGCAATAATTAATAGCTTACCAACCAAAAAAAGTCCAGGACCAGATGGATTCATAGCCGAATTCTACCAGAGGTACAAGCAGGAGCTGGTACCATTCCTTCTGAAACTGTTCCAATCAACAGAAAAAGAGGGAATCCTCCCTAACTCATTTTATGAGGCCAGCATCATCCTGATACCAAAGCCTAGCAGAGACACAACAAAAAAAGAGAATTTTAGACCAATATCCTTGATGAACATCGATGCAAAAATCCTCAATAAAATATTGGCAAACCAAATCCAGCAGCACATCAAAAAGCTTATCCACCATGATCAAGTGGGCTTCATCCCTGGGATGCAAGGCTGGTTCAATATATGCAAATCAATAAACATAATCCAGCATATAAACAGAACCAACGACAAAACCACATGATTATCTCAATAGATGCAGAAAAGGCCTTTGACAAAATTCAACAACCCTTCATGCTAAAAACTCTCAATAAATTAGGTATTGATGGGATGTATCTCAAAATAATAAGAGCTATCTATGACAAACCCACAGCTAATATCATACTGAATGGGCAAAAACTGGAAGCATTCCCTTTGAAAACGGGCACAAGACAGAGATGTCCTCTCTCACCACTCCTATTCAACATAGTGTTGGAAGTTCTGGCCAGGGCAATTAGGCAGGAGAAGGAAATAAAGGGTATTCAATTAGGAAAAGAGGAAGTCAAATTGTCCCTGTTTGCAGATGACATGATTGTATATCTAGAAAACCCCATCGTCTCAGCCCAACATCTCCTTAGGCTGATAAGCAACTTCAGCAAAGTCTCAGGATACAAAATCAATGTGCAAAAATCACAAGCATTCTTATACATCAATAACAGACAAACAGAGAGCCAAATCAGGAGTGAATTCCCATTTACAATTGCTTCAAAGAGAATAAAATACCTAGGAATCCAACTTCCAAGGGACATGAAGGACCTCTTCAAGGAGAACTACAAACCACTGCTCAATGAAATAAAAGAGGATACAAACAAATGGAAGAACATTCCATGCTCATGGATAGGAAGAATCAATATCATGACAATGGCCATGCTGCCCAAGGTAATTTATAGATTCAATGCCATCCCCATCAAGCTACCAATGACTTTCTTCACAGAATTGGAAAAAACTACTTTAAAGTTCATATGGAACCAAAAAAGAGCTTGCATTGCCAAGTCAACCCTAAGCCAAAAGAACAAAGCTGGAGGCATCTCACTACCTGACTTCAAACTATACTACAAGGCTACAGTAACCAAAATAGCATGGTACTGGTACCAAAACAGAGATATATACCAATGGAACAGAACAGAGCCCTCAGAAATAATGCCACATGTCTACAACCATCTGATCTTTGACAAGCCTGAATTCTTTCCATATGCTTGGTGTGTCAAGAGGTCTGTGCCAGTTAATCAGATTCTTTGCACCTTTAAAATCTAGGCAGCAAAATAAGAATGGAATAGCTAAGGCAATTTCCATCTTTTGTGTTATGAGGCCCTGAAATAATTAGAGCCACCTCTTTCTTATCCTAACAGGGCTCCGCTTTATAAGAAAGCAGTGATTATCCCAATAAATAAACTTTGCTAAAGAAAGAATCTGTAATCTTTCTGTCTTACTTTTGTTCTTTTGGTAATCAAACAACAGTGAATGAACCCAGCAATATTTTTGGTAAACATGGACTGTGAAATATCAATTCTAAATTCTGGATTATTTGTTTAAAATTCTCAAGCATTTTCAAATAACTGATTTTCTATTGTTTAACTACTATTTTACCATCAACACTGTAAAGAAAAATAAAGCTCTTTCAAGATTTCCTATTTTTTAACTACTATTTTACCATGAACACTGTAAAGAAAAATAAAGCTCTTTCAAGTACTCTACAAACATTCCTACCTTTTTATTTTTACCCAGATGCAAAAGAGAAGAGGTTAAAGAATTAGAGGACTGATTGACGTCTCAGCTGATAAGCCAGGTGCATATGTATTGCTTTCACAACAGTTACATGTAGGCAAAGGCCCAGAATTTGATGATTCAAAGGCTGGCTAAGGATACAGACCTGGCTTAGGCCAATGTTCTGTTATAGAGAAGGTCAATGCAATTTGAAGAGGTTAAGTTCCTACAGCTCCATTGCAATAAGACAGGGATGACAGTGCAGCTCTCCTGAGGACATTCTACAAACAAACCAGCATTTTACACAAAACACCCAAACAATGCTCTTCAATGGGGTTTTCTTTGAAGAGTTGTCACCTAGGATTTCATTGAACTCTTACAGATATGTGGGCTACAGGGGAGGTATTTTGTCTTTAATTTATAAGAAAATGTTTCCTTCATCTTCTTTGTTTTACATATAAAAGGAAAGAACTGAAAGAAATAAAAAAAGGAGGGTTCTATGGGAACAAACATTGGAAAGAGATGATGGTGGCAGAGTGAGGATGTAGTGAGAGCACTCAGGAAAAGTGCTGAGCATATTACAGGACTTGGTACGTTCAAGATGGCTAACAATGCGCACTTTCCCTCCTCCTTTAAAGAAGGATAGAGTATGACCTACATGATGATTTGTTAGAAGTTAGGGACTTCAGAAATTGAGATTAAAATTTAAAAATGAAGTGAAATGTGACCTTTCTTACCCTAAAAATCCATTTCTGTCTCAGAAGAAAATTTCTAGTTATTGGATTTCAAATGCACTCATCTTTGAAAAACAGAAATAGGTATATAGCCTTACAGCTGATTTATAAGCCAAGCATCAGGATCTGATAATCAGCAAACCTGGCATTGTAATTTAGTTTGTTCATTCAAGAAGGAGAAGGACTTAGATTCATAATTCAACGCTGACCTCTAGACTTGACTAATCATTTCAAAATGCATGATATACCATCTGCTGGTAATAACTCAAAAAGACATTTTATAATATGCATGATTTCATTTGATGATCAGAGTAACTGTGGGATTTGGATAGCATCATTATCCCCATTTCACAGACTAAGGAATTAAAGCTCAGAGTGCTTATATGTTTCACCCAAGGTTACACCACTATTAAATTAGTGAAGCTTAAATTGATTTTAGTTCTTCTCACTTCAAATCCTATACATTTTCTGAACCCTAGGGAACTGGTACAAAAGAATGTAGGGAAATAAACATAGACTCATTCCTTGTATCAGCAAACAGCTCAAGATACAGCTCTCTAATGACAGAAAAATGTTATTTTCATATATAACCTAGATGTGTTCAGATAGCAATTTGTGCTCCTCAGAGCTGGCACTTGATGAAACTGAGCACAAGAACCTATGCTGCAATGCCTCCAAAGGCAGTTGAGTGACACCAGGGATAGGATTATTCTGAGTGCCCCAGGAAACTTTTCTACACCTCCCTGGCATGTATTTAAATTGGTGGCATAACAGAGATCCAGCATGTTATCCCTCGGAATATGGCTGCCCACTTCTATTCTAACAAATTTGGAATGACCTCAGGCCTGGATAGAGATTCATTCATTCCTAATACGGATTCAGACATTAAATATTCCATAGCCTAATAGAAAAGTCAAGTTTTTAAGTATTTTTTTGTTTATTTGTGGTTTAAATTGTTTTTATTTATTAAACATTGAAAATCTCATAATATCTGACTCTTTTTATAAAAGTATATGCCACATCAAATGCTGCATGAAATCACAAAGAATTCCTGGACCTACACAACCTACCCACAGATACCTTCTTATCACGATCAGCAGTTTTGCTGTACAGTAAAAGAACATCTGTGCCCATATTTGGTCAAGATATAACTTTGTATAGATGCTTGAGAAGAGCCAAAACTGACAAAAAAAAAAAAAAAAAAAGAAACTAAAGTTGGGTGAATTTGCTTGCACATAAAGAGTACTCTGTTCTGCCCTCTTGAATAAAGAAAGGGAGTTTTGCCAAAGTGTTAATAACATCAGTTCTAAAGGAATGCCAAGCCCTTTTGCCAAATAACAAATACTATGTAAGCTATCCTGAAAATTTCACTAAATTGGGAAATGGACAAGGAGCCAGCACAAACATGGCTGGTACAATAGAAATAAACAAAGGAGAGATTCATGGAGAAGCACAGATGGAGAGAGCTTGGATGTCAGCATAGCACTCCCATTAGACAAGACACATGCCAGCTACAGTGGAAGATGTTCTACAGGAATCCATCCAGCAGGTTGCATAGCCTACCCAAGATGAAAAGTATCCAGCAGATACCCGCAGAAACCTTCTTCTCCCTGAACTTCGAAATTATGATCTAGATTCAGTCCAAGCACTTTAATTGCAAAGTCAGATTCAGAGATCTCAAAAATATAATTTATCTGGTTGTTCCCTTAGCCAAACAAAACAATCAACCTATTTTAAAGACTAGAAATAATTCCAGTCTAGTGGGCCCCCAATACTGCTATAATCCTTTGGTTATAAACCACAGAAATTTAGGCAAACTTGAATATGATTCCATATTAAGCAAAAATAAAAGGGATTTGTTGGAAGGATACTGCGTGATTCAGAATCACAGGAAAACTGAACAAAATGGCCACATAAAGACAGGAACCAGGGAAGGTCTGAGTGCTAAATATTTTATTAGGTTGGTGCAATTACTTTTGAACCAAAATAATGTGAAACGTAGCGCTCAGAACTTCCCTGGGTCCTGTCTTTTTTGCCACTAAAATAATGGCAAAAAACACAATTACTTTTGCATCAACCTAATAAATCAATGGACAGTCACTTTAAAGAAAAATGCAGCTCCAATTGTTTTCATCCTTGTGTGTCACTTTAAGAACCAAATTGAGAAGTAAGAGAATCCAAGTGGCCAAGCTTGAGTCCTGTGCCTACCCTTTGGGGATGGCAACACCTTAATTGATAGCTCCTCCAGGACCACATGAAGTGAGCCAATGTAAAGGGAGAAATGCTGAATCAAAACAGAGAAAGGGGATTTTGGTAGCCAGAACAACAGAATAAATGCAGAGATTTCCCCCAGGGAGATAGGGTGGGGATCACTTGAAAGATAACCAGGCTCTATATAATACTATCAGCCCCAATATAAGGTTCATGCAGTGTGTGAAAAGCTCTAAGCAAGCCTGGATATTGGTAGAAACTGGGACTACAATCTAATGTCTGATACCTGAACCTAAGTTTTTGGTAACTAAACTGTATTTATTGAATAGCTCAAGATTTTCCGCACACTAACTTTCAATCAGAGTGCTCACAAATACAAAATATGATCCAGGGAAGACCATATATGGAGAAAGGTGGTAGCAGGAGATTTTAAAACAGTGGCATTAAACAGTAAGTGAATTATTCTATGGCACTATTTATTGGAAGTATTGTTAAACTGCCAAGTTCAAGTGGAAACATTATTCAGAAAGGACAGCCAGAAATGTCGATCTTCATTCAAATCCTCTCTGCTACTAGGAAAGCAGATGTATTTAATTTCTGACATGAAGTCAAGAAAAAGCAAATGCTGAAGAAAGAATAAACTTGGATACATCTAATCTTAGAACAATAAAAAACACTTTCATGAACAATAAAAAAATAAATATTGAATCCTTAACATAATATTTGAGCAGGAATATAATTAGAAAGAAAGAGAGATCTTCCATGTGCCCAAGATTATGTTTTTGTTTGTTGCTGGTTGTTGTTGTTTTCTTTTCTTTTTATTTTAGAGACAGGTTCTCACTCTGTCACCTGGGCTGGAATGTAGTGGCATGATCCTGGCTCACTGCAGCCTCGACTTCCTGGGTTCAAGTGATTCTCCTGCCTCAGCCTCTGAGTAGCTGGACTACAAGCACATATCAACAAGCCCAACTAATGTTTCATTGTTTTAAAAAATAGTTTTAAATTTTTTGTAGAGACGGGATTTCTTTATGTTGCGTACGCTGATCTCGAACTCCTGGCTGCAAGCGATCCTCCTGCTTCAGCCTCCAAAGTGCTGGGATTACAGGCCTGAGCCACCACACTTGGCTCACAGTGATGTGTACTACCAAAATATTACGGGGAAATTGTTTAGTTTGTACTCATATGCTTACTTTTTTGTTGCCTATTTTCACACTTAAAATGAACATTAGAGGCTGTGGATAAGTGAATTTGGCTCCCATGTTTAAGTAGATAATTAGATAAAATTACATGATATAAAATTCCCTTTTAAGGGGTAATTCCACTAGATGATTTAAAACTCAATTATAATGTGCAAAATATCTTTCCCTTTTCTGAGTGCCTCTCATCAACATCTTTCTTACGCTTATTTTCTCCTGATGTTTTGGTTATTTTACTGGAAGGCTTTGAGAGTGCCTTCTAGTTAATCCTGACACATCCTATGGTAATGCCAAGTATTGGCTATACCTGTAGTTCTCTTCTACACTCATAGAGTTGCACAGCTGCCTCTTCTAGAAGGCCAAGTATCTTTGACCACAGCACTGACCCCTTCTGCATGTACTCAGAGCTCTTGTCCCAACTCCCAGAGGAATCTCATAGAGTGTTCTTAAGTTATGTCTCTTTGGTTTGACTTACAGGAACCAAAGCCTCCTTACCTGAAAAAGTATGCAAAACTGTTGTTTCAATATTATAAATTAACATTCTTCTCACTTTACCTCTTAGGTCAGAGCTTGACAGAACAGAGTCATGACTAGTTTCCTCTAAGACAGGTCAGGTCTACTCTACTGGGGGCAAGAAGATGTTTTCCTTGTGTATATGTGCTGGCTTTTTTTTTTTTCTGACAGAGTAAGGGTAAATAGATTTAAGAAATGATAGCTAAAGAAGGTTAGGAAAAAAACATGAAGAAAGAGTATTAGGTAAGAGAACCATCTACTGCTGTAATGCAGAAGAAGAGTATTCAGAGAACGGAGACCCAAGTCAACCTCAGTACATTCGGATTTAGTGCACTTCCTCACCCACTTAAGAGATTTACTCATTCAACCAAAACTTCCAGGGACAAAAAACTTGCTTCACTTATGTATGTTATTTACTCAGGGATTATAGACACCACTTATCTACTTATTCATTCATTCCTTCACTCATCATAATTGACAGAGAAAATTATATGTACAACATGATATTTCCAAGTATCTATACATTGTGGAATGACTAAGTCTAGCTAATTACACATATGAATTACCTCCCATAGTTTCACCAATTTAAAGTACTAAATTCAATGTTAAAAATTTCAGCCATGGTAAAACTTTGACAGATAGTGCCTGCTTTTAAAACTTCTAAGGGAACAATTCTATTTTTCTTGAGAAATGTAAACATAGCTAGATTATTCCATTTGAAATTAAATCTTATTTTATAAATAACTACTCCATGTTGTTTTTCTGTGATTATTTCTAAAAGCCAAGACTAAGTATTTCCGTATTTTCTCAAATTCCACATACAAGGACATAGTGGAAGTTGCTAAATAATTAGACTTTGAGCTTATTAAATTAGGAAGTTACTAAATTATGAACTTCACATATCCTTAATCATCTACATAGCCTTTATTGCCAGCACAGTGCTTGACACCGAATAGGTTCTCCAAATATTTGTTAAACTGATTAGCACTAACCCATGAACAAGAAACTCCTAGCGTCCCACTGCTTAAAGCACTCCTTGAGGTTCAGAAAAAGGCTTACCTATGCTGAACAGAATCAGACTTGAGAGATAAGGACAGGTAGCCATACATACTAATACATATTAGTAGATACTAATATGGCACCAGAAATAATCTCTACACACAAACACATCCAGATGGAACCATGCCTAGAATTTGTGGATTTTCCTCCCATACTATTCTTCTAAATGTAATTGAAAGAGCTCACAGAAAGCCATGGATAACCAAATTTGGGTTAATTAGATTGCTCCTCTAAATTATAAGTCCCGTGAGAGTTAGATTTTGTCCCAAACACTAAATCAACATTTCTGCAGAGAATAGACAGGATCATAAAACTGATACTTTACAAGACTCCTACCTGATCTCTAATCTATTTGCACACCTTGCTCCTATTTGCTCTTTGTCAGAAATATCAACACAGACACATCCATCAGACACATCACTGGTTAACACTTGCCTTAGCAATTACCTTTCTTTTTTGAAAATTTCTCTGTATTCATTATCATGCGACCACACTCTTCTCTAATTGCAGCATGCATCACATTTGTAATTTCACATTAAATAGTCTGATTTTTTTCATTAATCTTTTTTTCTCCCACTAGACTACAAGCTGCAGAAGGGCCACTTATTTTTTTCCACTGTTGTGACCTTAGCATCTCATGCAGTGCTTGAAACATAATAGGTGCTCAATTAGTGTTTATCAAATGATTGGATGGATGATTCACGGGAAAAGTATTGGGTGTCCAAGGACTGTTAAGAAAGAAAATCTAAAGAGGAAAGATAACTATGTTAAGTCAACTAAAGTTGTAAGGTAAGAATTAGTTGTAAATTTAAGAAAACTGATGATCAAAGAAAACCCTTTATTTTATCCCAATAATGAAACTAAAGTTCAGAAAGGTGAATTGACTTAATGTAGTTATCACAACTAGCTAGTACTGTATGTGGGTCTAAAACTCAGAGCTCTCATTCAAATGATCTTTCCGTAAGTACATGTTTTCAAATACAAGCAAATGGCTCATTCTGATAAACGACGACAGGCCCATTTAACTTATTGAAGTCATTTTGCTAAAATAAACAGGAATCAGTTTAGAATGAAGGAAATATTAAGTTACATTTCATTTCAAAAATTCTTACTTTTAGAAGGTGCGTAGAATGATTAGATTACATCTGTTAATTTGTTATGACAAGACAACTCAGAATATAGCTTCAAAGTGATTCCAGAACTGGGAACCAGTGAGAATTTAACAGGGTTTTACTAACCCAAAACACACAGCACTCAAAAATATTATTTATCAATATGAGCATTATTACTAATTATGACACTTACAGAAAACAAAGGCCTGAGAAAATAGACCATTTGGATGAAGATGGCCATCAGTAATGGTCTGAACACTGAGGCGTTTCTGATCAACAATGACTCAGTGAGCACCTTGGGAAAAGAAGTCATACCCTTTGAAGTAAAGGGCATTAAATGTTATCTACTTTTCAATTTTGCCAAGGGACAGCTGGATCTGTGAACATTTCCATTAACAAAACAGGGCCCAAGGGTGATTCTAAAATTCTCTACTTGAAAGTGAGGCTGAAGGTCTTTCATTCTCTGTAGAGCTGGTTACAAACTTCTGTAGATTAACCCATGCTGATAAGTTTAACACAGTCTAACTCAGAACTCTTCTGTCTGCAACCCAATAACACATCATCCCAACGTGTCTCTGATTTAGTTCCTAAGTAAATCAGATATTTGCCTCTAATCGTACAAGGCAACACCTATACACTAAAATGAACCTCTCTATTCTTCCACACAATAAACACATTGAGTCAGTCATAAGATGAAATTCTGACATACAGAATAACTTTACATAGAATGGCATTACCAATCCTAAGAGCAGAACATCACTTCATTCTTGAATTTTGTACCAGTGTATTTCATATATCAAACAAATATGTACTCTTTGTTTGCTACAAAGAGTAATGTACCAGAGCTTACTGGATACTCTACAGTATACACTTAAATATGTTGGTTAAAAAAATCTAAGGTACTTAATATCTACCTTGAAAATATATCAAGCATTAATTTATACAAAACAGCTTAAAACTTGTGTCTCTATTACTTTATTTTTAAGAGTTGATCAAATTGGCCACACGGCTTCTGCACTGGGTAGACAAAATAACAACTATCCCCTCAATCATACCTACATCACTTTTAAGACAAAACTATTACTTTCCTTTTATAGTTCATGTTGGCCGAAGTATGCTGTCTTAACTCAGCGGAATATACATTTACCTCCTTACTGAGGACACATTTACAACGTTGCCAAAGTCTTGCATTAATGTTTTAAGTTTCTTAAAAGCAATGCATGTTTGAGAGAATAAGTGACAAGCATTTGATATCTTAGTCAATGTGATATCCCTTCTGGGAACTGAGGTAATAGAAATATAAATTAGTCTATTTTCAATTTTTAAATATTGCTTGAGACCCATCCACTTGCTGTTTTCATAAACCAGGTGATAGCGTCTTTCCTTGAAGTTCTTGCGCTATATGGAATGATATCTTTCCTTATTAATTAATCCAAATCTGAAATGAGGCTATAGGAAAAAATCAGCCTAATACTAGTATTCAAGTTCAAAGTCATTGTGAAAGATTCAGGGTCGGGTGCGGTGGCTCACGCCTGCAATCCCAACACTTTGGGAGGCCGAGGCGGGCAGACCACTTGAGGTCAGGCGTCTAAGACCAGCCTGACCAACATGGTGAAACACATCTCTACTAAAAATACAAAAAATTAGCTGGGTGTGGTGGCGCTCGCCTGTAGTCCCAGCCACTCAGGAGGCTGAGGCAGGAGAATAGCTTGAACCCCAGAGGCAGAGGTTGCAGTGAGCCAAGATCGTGCCACTGCATTCCAGCCTGGGTGACAGAGCGAGACTCTGTCTTAAAAAAAAAAAGATTCAGATATCACATTGGTACATCCCATGGACTTGAACACAATTTTAATTTGGCAAAACTAACAAAAACAATTTTCTCCATCAAAATCTTCATCTTCCCTCCTGAAAGAGCCTGACTTTCAGCAAAAATGGGCAATACATTTACAAAGTGTTCTAGGGTCAACAAAACCTACCTGATTTTTCAAGAATAATAGCAAACCATAATGTGCTTATTCTTCTAGATAAATGACTAATTACAAATAGCATAATAAAATGAACAGAATAAATAGCATAATAAAATGAACAGAATAAATTTAAAACCTGTAAATTTTCGAAGTCACAAACACCATTAATAGAAAAATACAGAGAGCACACATTGTTTTGAAGTCTACTGAAACTATCCTGGTTTTAGACTTTACAAAGCAAACACATTAGACTAGAACTAAATCATGCAAGATGATTCAAATGTAGGTTCTTATTCCAATTAACTAGTGAGTAAGTTATAGTTTGTAATTACCATTTTTGCCTGCCTGGCAATGTTTGCTATCTCCATTTGTTCTGGACAGTTAATTACAGTTCTCTGCAACTCCATTCTCACCATAGCAGTAAGAGGCAAACAGACACATTTCACATCTACATTAAGTTTTCCTAAAACTTCCCTACTATCATTTATACTACTTTCAGTTTTCTCTGTTGAAAGACAATTTTACCAGTAGTTAACAGATACTGGCAATAGTTACCCATTTTTTAAAATGAGCTCCTTTTTCTTTTTCTTTTGCATCATCAACTATTTAGAATACACTGTGCAGAAAAATGTGTCCTTTCAAGAGAAAATAGAACAATGGATTTGAAATCACTCTAGTTTTTCTGTGTTTCTCTAAGACTAAATCAAAGCTATAGAGCTGAGTGCTGTGCCTCAGGTCTGTAATCCCAGTGAACTGAGAGAGTGGGGTGGAAGGATCTCTTGAGCCCAGTTCAAGGGTGCAGTGAGCTATGATTCTGCCAGTGCACTCCAACCTGGGAGACAGAGCAAGACCCCAACTCTAAAAAGAGAATAACAAATAATAAATTAAAAAATCAATCAATATATAAGCACAGGTAAGACAATTTTAAGTAGAAAAAATAGCTACAGTATGAACTGGTGTCCATTCCTATCTGATTCAAAGTTGCTTGCCCATGCCTAAGAACCTGAAATCTATAGTCCCTGTAATTCTGAATTAGCTCTCCAGAGGTTTATTTCAAACTCTTGGAAGGAATCCTCAGTTTTCTCACAATGGACCATTCATTTAACTATTTAATGAGCAAATGATGATATATTCTCTAATAGAATTTGAATTCTAGTAGGTAAAACAGGGCACAAATAAGAAATGACTGTTCATCATGGTCTTAGGCAGGGTCAAAGCTCCAATTTTGAATCGTGTGGAGCAGCTGAAACTTGACATGCTGACAAACAATTTCAATTTTTTCCTTCACTAAAATTCCATTGCATTTCCTACAATTGCCAGTGGAACCACTATCAATCCAAGCGAAGAATCTTGACTCATTTATTCTCTCAAAGCAGAGCAGCAGATTAAGTTATAGTATGTTGTGTCTGTTTAGTCAACATCTAAAAAAATCAGTCAATAGCTAAAAAATATTTTCTGGCAATAGAAATGGAAAAAATGTCATCATATGCAGTATAATTGTTTTGTCACACATTATTATGATAATAGTGATGACTTACTTTAAGGAGGCCCCAAAAGGCAATTACAAACAATCCACTAATTACAACAAATTTTAAAATTATCACCTTAAATATAGACAACACCTGGAATTTGGAAATTGGTCAAAATCCATGTTGGACAAAGTAAAATTTTTCTGCATATTTTTTGTATTTTGGAAATGAGTAGATTAAAAAATTGCTAATCCTTTTTTGGAGTAAAATTTAAAAACAGCAATTAAATGATTTTTCTAAATATTCAAGGGGAGTGGTAATAGGAATAAGATCAGGGTAATGACCTATAGTTAATGCTCAAGCTCTGCTCTCATGAGTTAATAGGATATAACCTTGTTAAAGTCTTCTACTACTAGGTAAATGGAAATGGGAGCTATTTCTTAGGGAGAAATGAAGACATAATAGGTAATTTAAGAGAAACAGACTAATTACTGGTTCAAGGAAATTTATATACCATCAGTTTTAACACATTTCCCACATTTTGAGATAATTAAAAGATCTAATAATCTTTTTTCTACTTGATGTGCAGGCTAACACTTGTCACTTATAATAATCATGGCACGTTTATTCAAATTTTTATTCAAAATTTATTCAAGTTTCATGCCATCCTAAAATAACTCTGAAATACATATCGTTCTCATTTAATTCCTGTAAGTTCAAGTGTCTCAAGAAAACCATTCAATTATGCTAACCGTTTAAGGATATTAAGGCATAGGACTCTTTATTTCATTCATTTTGATTGCTTTACTGTATGTATATTTCTGTGTTTAAATTTAGCCAGTCAAAACAAATAGAAATTTACATGCTTATGTAAATAAGGAATTAAATTAGTATTACAAAAGACTGTATTTACATAGCACAAAGGGAAGTTTAAAAGTGCCTGCTTTCTGATTAACTGGATTAGCTTAGAACATTACATCAGCTAATTTGGACTTAATCATCTTATCTTTCACTGGTGATTTTCTAGATCAATTGCAAATTATCATTCATGTCATATGTTGCCTCAACACCTAATGCAAATAGCCTTGGCTTTTAAAAGTTGGATTATTTGGTTGTATATTAATAAGATTAATATTTCTTCTAAGAGCTCTTTCTTCAATAAGAAAGAAAAAAGAATATTCTTATAAAAACATTCTACGTGTTAGCATCTGCCTCTGCAAACATGAAGAGACATCTAGAAGCACAACTTTGTTCAAGTTGGACCAGTGGTGTCATCTATCCAGCTCAAAACTACCTTAGAGCCAGCATTTAGATGGATAGAGATTTTCAAATGAATAATTTCCCTTTTAAGCACGTACACATCATGGTTGAGCAAAACGAGGACAGAGATAAATTGACCTGACTTAGATTAGAGAGTGGCATAAATATTTGTTGAATTGAAATTGGCAGAGCCAGGGCTTGTACTAGGTTTAGAATCAGAAAGCTGTGGTTCTTTCCTCAAGAAAACCATCGCTTTCACTCAGTATTCATGGAGAGGGCATAGGTGTTTAGAGGAGAAAAACAAGCAAAATAGGATGACTTCTACAAGACTTCTACAAGACTTAGTGTATATAAAGACCAAATTGCAAAACCTCACAATAACAAAATATTCAGCCACTGTCCATTCTATGTGATTTCATGAGAGTATGATTTGAACATGCTGTCACTTTTGCAGTTAATCTGATGCCTCCTAAATGATCCCAGCTGAATTACTCGATCATTCACAGACATGAAAAATATTGCTAATTTGCTGAGAAAATAATCTAACATAGTATTAGTAATGCTACCCGTCTTTCAGGAATTTAGAGGCAGCTCAACAAAGTACTGAGTATATGGAGATCCAAGTAGTGGTTATAGTCATGCTCTGAACCATTTTTAACGCCTTGAATAAGTCACTGACTTTCCCTAGCTCTCAGCTCCTTCATCTGTCAAATGGGTTTGATGACTCTGTGGCTTCCGTAGGTATTATTTTTATAACTCTACTTTTTAATTCTTGGAAATGTTATTGTTTTATTAATAACAACATTTATTCATTTAAATTCACACCTGTCAAATTTTCCATCTGAGGTATCTGCCATGCTTAATAGCAAAGGAGAGAAAATTCCTTTAGGAGGTCTGACAGTAGTGTATCTCAAAGTGGTTGGAAAGTTTTTTGAAGTCCATCACTTTGTCATAACATTTATATACTTCCTAATTCTACTAATACAACATCTATGTGTAATATAAAATCAACCTCACTCCAAATCATCAACTTAAGTTGATGATTCAAGGAGATTCATCAGATTTATCCTTGACTTAATGACCCTATTATACATATCAAAGTCTTCCTGGATCTCAAGGGTTTGGATAGGCAGAAGCACGCCAACATGAAAAGTGAGAACCTAGTTCTATGAAATCACCTAGAAGGAGTCCCATGATGCCACTGATGTAGGGCCTCACTTTTCATATTGGGGTGTTCCTTTCTATCCAAACCCTTTCTTCCATTTCAAGTGTTTCTGAAAAACATCAGAATACATGTTTCTTTGATGCATCTCAAATTATTTCCATAAACTAGTTTCCTAGAAATCCCAGAAATGAGGTTTCTAAATCAAACAATATGGACACTTTTATGCTTCCATCTAGATAGATATAGCCCGGTTGCTTTCCTGAAAAACTATATCACCTTATATTCACACCAAGAATATGTGAGAGCTCATATCTCTCTGCACCTGTATTAACATGGTCTTGAAGTTCTTTTTCAGAACGATCTATGAAAAACGGACAGTATTTCTCTTTGCTTTCTTGTCACACTGTTCTGAAGCTCAAATAGTCTCAGCTCCTTATTAGGAGTGACAGGCTAGTTAACCTCTATAATCTCAAATCTTTATTGAAATAAAAAACACTAGTATGAGCTTTGAGGATTAAGTAATAATGCATGTAAAGTACTGAACAAAGAGACTGATGCATAAGAGAGTTCAATAGATGTTGAGAACACAGTGATTCTTGAATCCTGTTTCATCATCATCCTAATCTGGTATTACATATTTAAAGTATGCATGAGATAATTTTCACTTATGTTGCTGCATTATAGTACGTGCTAAATACATATTAGTAAATGTAATAAATAAGTGTTTACCTATAAATGCAAGAACCACAAATGTGGAATCACCAGAAGAATTGGTAAATAATTTCCTATTTGTTTTTATTTTAGTCAGAAAAATAATAAAATTATTGCTTACACCATAAAGAAAATCCTCTCTGCTATACATGTAACTTTGTTCAAATCAGTCAGAGCTGTAAAGGGAATTCTGATTCAAGACCAGAGGAAATACTCTGATATAATTGTGTCTGGATACCAGAGACAAATACCTAAACAACTGTTTCATCTTGTTTAGAAATGAAACTGATCACTTGTATGGGAGGAACACTTACATTTTAAGTGTTCTTCAAAGAAAAGTTTCCAGTGGCCATCCCTAAAAGTGGGGCCAAAAGATAGGAAGAGGGGTAGTGATGATAAGTGAGTCCACATTCAGTTGAACTATAGTAAACAGGTCATAGAACATTCTTAATAATCTGAAAATGACTAGCTATTGAATATTTTTCAAATCCTTATTCATCACAGCTCTTCAGTTCATGTCCTATTATTTTCACCTGAATTACTGCAACAGCCTATTAAGCATCATCCAATTTTGTTCCCTACCCTCCATCCCATTCCCTCACCTCTCATCACATGTGCACTAATTTATTCTCCACATTGCTTTCAGACAGCTCTTTTGATATAAAAATATCAAATCCAACACATGTCATTTTCCTGTTTAAAATCTATTGGCTTTAAAATAAGAACTTCAGTCTATAGCTGTGACATAATCTAGAACAGTGGTTTTCCAACTTTAGTGTGGATCAGAAGTGCCTGAAAGGCTAGTTAAATCTCCCTTTTTGAATCAGGAGTCTTGGGTGGGGTCTGATAATTGGCATTTCTGATAAATTTCCAGGTGATGCTGATGCTGCTAGTTGGGGGAATACATTTTGAGAACCAGTGATCTCGCAGTTCATGCCTACCCACTGTGCCTCATTGCTCAACATGGGGTCTTCAAATCCCAAAATTCATTCTGTTCTTTCTTGCCTGTATGTTTCTGCTCATGCTAATTCCTCTACCTGGCATGCCTGTCCCGTCTGCCTACAGATTAATCATTTCCCACCTTCTGTGTTCCTGTGATAGCATATATTTTCTTCTTTTCTATTGTACCCTTATCACATTGGGCTGTAATTGCTGTGTTATTTACATTCTATGGTGAAGTCTTTGAAGGCTAGCTGTTTCTTATCTCTGTATATTCAATGCCTAGCAAAATGCCTAGAAAGACATTCAAATAATTTTTCAATGTATGTTGCTAACTACAGAGTTAGCAGAATGACTCTAATACCTTGACATCCTGCCAACGGCAGTTTTTTTGTTTTGTTTTGTTTTAGTATCCCACTTTCCTTTAGTGATTAGTAGAAATATCCTAGAAGAAGAGGGCCTGTGTGCTTGTTGTCTGAGATGGAAACAAGAGATTGTAGTCCACTCTTGACATATCAGAGAGAAAACCTGAAACGGATGAATAGTAGAGGAAGAATGCAGCCTGAATCCCTGGGATAACAAGAGAAGAGGTGGACGCAGAGAGCCAGTCTAGATCTAAGCTACCAAAAGCCCTCTGCGGGGCTCCCAGTTAAATAGTTTTATTATCTAGTTTGTCTAGATGATGTGTGTGTGTGTTTAAATTTTTAATGCCACATAGCGTTCACATTCTACTTAGTATTGGATAGTAGATTCAAAGATTAGGATCCTAGTTAAACACATCTAGGCATGATTACATTTCAAGCCAAATTAAAGGTCTGCACAAACATCATCTAGTAGTAAATATAGATGTCAAAGTCTACTACGGAGCTGGTTTATAGTGCTGCCATCAGCCAAATAAAATATTTCCATTCCAATTATATTCAGAAAGAAAATCTAATTCCTGAAATGTAATGAGTTTTCACACTTCCAATGCTAAGAACCTTTTATTAAAATGTCTTTCTACTGTTGTATTGATTGAGCTTGTACCCAAAAGCTCTTTAAAGGGCATTAGTTAGGAATTAGAACTTGTAGTCCATTTAAAAACCTAGAATGACCAAAGTACATCTAGAGAATTGTCACGTTAAAATGTTATATGCAAAGCTCAACTTCCATATATTAAAGAAGGATGACAACTATAAGAATGAATTTTTAGAAAACCATTCAGCCTGTCAATATTTCACACATTTAGGGCTGGACTCACAGTCACCCAGTCAGCCATAGCTGATTTGGCATTTATCATACATGTCATATAGAATTTGAATTAGATGATGACTATTTTTTCCACTGACTCTATTGATTAAAATGTAGTCTCATTTTAATCCTAGAACCATGTATTATCGATATACAGTAGAAAACAGGCACTCAATAAATGGTGGTAGAATTTCTTCTTAAAAGCTGATTGTCTATTTTTAAAACTACGTTAACATAGTTGAAATCCTCAGTTGTTTCTTCGTCATCATCTCTCTACAGTCTCCAAACATTAGAAACTGAAATAAAACACTTTTTGAGTATATATTCAGGATAACTGCCATAAAGTGATTTCTGATGTGTTTCCAATTGCAGTACTTTTATCTGGCAGATATATGCTCTCAGGAATTATATGCCAATAAATTACGAGCTTCGTTGTCCAGGGTGTTTTTGGCTTAGCTTTTGTCCGTTGATGAGACATACTCCTTAAGATATTCTTAATAATTGTTTGGCCCATTTTCAGTAATCTGGCTCTTCCTTCTCTTTTTCTGTATTCTCTAAATTAGAAGCAAGTCATGAGGTCCAGCCCATCCTCAACGGAAAGGGATTATACAAGGGTGTGAACATCACCAGGTGGGGCTTCTGGGGGGCCACATCCACCTCAACTACCGCAACTCCCTACTGAGTTTTTTAATCTTGTCTCTAACCCTTACTAATTGCTAACTTAATATTTATTTGACTATAGAGTTCATACTTGTAAATACAATTCTGGTTTTCAAGATGCTTATATATTAGTAAATGTTAAATACCAAGAGTACCCACTCAAAAAAATACTAACTCAAAATATCCTGGTAAATTATTAATATAATCTCCTCTAGCAGAAATATGTCAGATTAATATTCATATTTTAAACATGTATTCTTATTTTCTTAATTGCAAGATGCAGAAGCTTAAAACTTCTAAGCTTTAAGGGTTTACATTCTCAATATTATAAGATTTTCTTTTAATGTCTTGAACAGGTGTTACTGGCTTGGCAGTATTTATAAGGTTTACGTACTTTTAACTCTACACTTTGCTTTTTCCCCTTTCAACCTACTAAGTCAAGTTATTGGTGTATGCACTCTTTACATCTAGCAAATGCTCTTTAATACCCTCTCAAGATCTAGTGATGCCCTTTAACAAATGTGAAAGAGAGAGAAAAAAGCCTGTGGCAATCTGAATATTAATTGGAATTTGACAACAGATCACCTCTTGAAGGACAATATCCTTCAGAAAAAATAACTACCGCACTGTAGAAATTAGGAATTACAGAGTGACAATATAGCAAGCACTGGTGAATTGAGTTAAATGATTTAGAAGGTAAAATCCTTTTGTGAGATAAGCAAAATATTATTTCAAGCCAATGAACCCTAAATTGTTAATGATGGTAAAGTATACTAAGAAAGCTCAATATTTTCTTACTCAGCAGTCGCTTGAAAAGTTAAAGCTTTGCCAGTCCTTAAATGAGAAACTCAAATAGTACGGAATGGAAGATTTTCCTCCAAAAAGCTATTTTGATTTTGAGATTACTCAAAATAGGTGGAGGGCTATTCACATGTAGCCATTCAAAAGCCAGAAAGAATGGAAATGCCACACTCCAATCAAACCTTTGGCAAAGTTTAGTGTATTTTAAAAGCCACTTTATTAAGGTAAGACTGACATACTAAAAGTTGTATATATCTAATACATGCAACTTGATGACTTTGGAGTAAGTATACAATTGTGAAACCATCACCAGCATTTATGCCATAAACCTATCCATAACCTCCAAAAGTCATCCTGCTCTCTTATTTACAAGATACAACTTATATGATGAATCTAAAATTGTCAAACTCACAGAAGTAGAGAGTGGAATGGTAGTTGTCAGGGGATGGGGGAAAGGGGGATGGAGAGGTATCAGTGAAAGGGGACATAAGTTTCAGTTACACAAAATGAAGAAGTCCCAGAGAGCTACTGTAAAGTATAGTGCCTACAGTTAGCAATACTATATTCTGGTATGTGTTCTTATCGCAAACAAAAATAATAATAATAATGTATTTTATAATGCTGTACTTAATGATTACAAGATGAACGGAAACACTTTGGAGAGGGGCCTCAAGAAATTGGAGGGATAGATTGATAAATGACGGTAACGAACATCTTTATAAAATGAAGAGATGAAAAGAGACTTCTTGTTCTAATGAGAACTGTTGCCTATGGCTGGGGAGAGTCTATCTTGCCATGCATCAACAGGTGTGAATGGCTGCTAACAACATAAGTTGACACCGTTAGCAAGCTGCTACACTATAGCACATTTAAGATGTCACATGACCCTAATAAGAATTCCTGAATGTAGCTCATAGCTCAAATCAGTACTCAAAGACAAGAAAGTGTCTTGCCCCTTTTGTTTCCAAAGAAGCTTTTTGCCAGCTTATATGACGTACAAAAAATAACAAAAGCAAACAATGTTATTTAACATGTTCTGATATTTAGTAGCAATATAACATTTTAGTAGAGCCTCATAAGTAGATTCTTAAGTATCTTGCCTCTCTTGAACAATGACTTTAATCACTTTTTATTATACTAGGGGATTTGTATGTGGGCTGTCTTTCTTCATAATATCACTTTCTTATTGTTTATTTAAGAATCCATATACTGAGTGAGGCTTGTGAAACTATGCTACAAAGCTATCTAATTATTTCCAAGACTGGGTACACAGACACTTACTGCAAATGAGTTCTGTCTAACCACCCTCCGCGGAAGATTTGTTATTCAAAACAAGAAAATGTTCAAGGTAGGAACCTTGCTTGATAATCACTTATCCTGTGAAGAATTCCAAGTAGTTTCTTCCCAATAATTGGAACTCCAAAGGAATTGATTCAGATACTTATCAATGTAACTACAGTTAACCAAGAATGTAAAGAGGATAACCAGGACACTGCATACTCTTTATTAAAAAATAAAAATAAAAGGTAATTGGCATTTACTAATATGGCCCAAAAGGTACCTCAGTATTAAGAAACTCAACTTCATTTAAAATGTTGAGCAAAAGGCTTGTATTAGATTTTCTATTTGTTGAAAAAAACTTCTGGCCCTATTCCTTAACAACCTGGAACAGCCTGAAGCTCAAATTTCCCTAGTATTCAATGTTTTGGATTTTGCAACTACCTAGTTAAGATTATTAGTACATATATCTCTTTGCTAATCAGTGCTAATTATCTCTATCTTTAAAAGAAAGAAGAAATATTGCCAGATAGAATCTGGACGTACTTAACAGAACAACAACAGCAGCAACACAAGTATTTCTAAGAAGGAAAAAGCTGACTGTGACTTTCTGTACAAAGCAAAAAATACTCAGGCATAACAATTCAGATTTAAAAAGCAATTTTTTGTTGAGTCAAATTAAAGAACATGTTTACAGGGCACATTCTTAGCACTCTAGGGTTAACTAGTAGAGGAAGTCTGCCTTAAGTGGTGAGTCTCACGTGGGGGCTTGGAGATAGTAGGTGCTCAATAAAACTTTGATTGAAACAGAGTATACATTAAAAATGCTCAATGACAATAAATGTGGGGGCCAGGCGCTGCAGCTTATGTCTATAATCCCAGCACTTTGGGAGGCCGAGGCAAGTGGATCGCTTGAGCCTAGGAGTTTGAGACCAGCCTTGGCAACATGTTGCAATCCCTTCTGTACCAAAAATACAAAAATTAGTCAGTCTTATGACCCGGTCCCAAAATGCATAAATACATAGATCAAAATTTAAAAATAAGATAAAATGTCTTTTAAAAAGTAAATAAATGTGGGATTTCTCTTTGAGATTACAGGGAAGAAAGTCGATGGCCTTTAGTAAAGACAATGATTGCTTTTATTACGCGGAAACTGCTAATAGGGCTCAGGTAAAGGGACACGGGCTTGATAATTTACTATCCCCTATGAAAGGGCATTAAAAAAGGCAAGTGCAGGTTGAAACCATATTAGTGAATCCTGTTTCATGCTATAGACTACTCCAAGTAAAGGTTTTATATCATTAGCAAGTTAATTCAGCTCATCCATCAAAATTTACTTCAACTCTATCATTTCGTGCATCAACAATATTTTCAGAGTCACTAGTAGAATCAGATAAAAACAAAGCTTAGGAAGTAATTATTTCACAGCTACTCCTCCTCCACTTTCACGTGTCAGAAAAAAAAGCCTTATGAATTTGCTTAGATTATTAGTTTTCTAAATTAGCTAACTGTCAAGGTAAAGGAGGGAAACTTTGAAAAGCAGTGTCAAAACTTAAGTGTATAAATGAAAACATCATGGTTTCAGCAGATATTTCCTGCTGATTGTTTGAAACCCTGCAAAAGAGTATGATAAAGCCTTATGAAATAGTAATGAATACTCCAAATATATCATCACTAAGAAATCTTCATAGTTTAGATGAAGGAATGCCTTGCTATCAGCATTTTAGCTTCTAAGAAGTCAACAACCTTGAAGGCCTGTCACACATTGAACGCTTCATTTCCTAAGTATTGTCTCCAACTTCCAGGTTCAATACAAGTATCCTGAGAAATGTGAAAAACTGGAAAGTGGAATTGTGGAAAAAAGTTAATTAAGGCATAGTCTACACCTATAAAGACCTGACAAATTAGTGAAGAAATTTCCACTATTCAGATTGAGATACAAATAATAAAGGAACTAGAAAAAAGGAGGAGGAAGTTGAATGGGATTTCTAAAAGTAGGTGTGAGTATAATAGTCAAAGATGGAGTAAAAAGAAATTTTACACGGAAGGCATTAAATGGAAAGAAACCCCTGCATAAGGGCACCAAAATAGAAATGGCTCAGGGGGCTGGGTGCGGTGGCTCACGCCTGTAATCCCAGCACTTTGGGAGGCCGAGGCATGTGGATCACTGAGGTCAGGAGTTTGAGACTAGCCTGGCCAACATAATAAAACCCTGTCTCTACTAAAAATACAAAAAATTAGCCAGTCGTGGTGGCAGGCGCCTATAGTCCCAGCTACTCGGGAGGCTGACGCGGAAGAATTGCTTGAATCCAGGAGGCAGAGGTTGCAGTGAACTGAGATTGTGCCATTGAATCACTGCATTCCAGCCTGGGCAATAAGAGTGAAACTTCATCTCAAAAAAAAAAAAAAAAAAAAGAAAGAAAAGAAAAGATTCAGGAAACCTTAGAAATCTCTAAAGTTATGAGGTAATTAAAAATGGTTGTCCTGGAACAGGAAGACATTATAACAATCATGATTTCATGATTTATTGATTACATATTTTATCTGGAATGACACTCCACATTTGACATATATTACCTGATGTAAGCCTTACCCGTGAAATATACCTTATTATCCCTATTTCATGAATGATGAAACTGAAGCTTAGAGAAGTTAAGCTGCTTGTTAAGGCCCAAAGTATATTCAATTTTCAACCCAGACTGGATGACCATGTTTCTGCCACCATACTCCCTTGCCTAGGAGAACCATGGGGGTTAAAACCACAGCTTGGGGAGTGAAGGTGAGCAATATAAACAGAAACCTCTTTAGAAAGGTTAGAAAATAATAGGATTAAGTCAGTATCCATGTCCAGGGTAGATGTAAGGGGGAAAAGACTAGAAGCCATTGTTACCCTTCAAGGGAAAGGGAAAGTCCTAGTGAGCCAGGCCAATGGCAGTCTGGATAAGGAGGCATGATAGAGCCAATGGACACAAAACACTATTCACTTAGGTGGTTTTGATTCTCCTCCTCCACAGTTTGTATCCCTTCTGTCTGTTCCTTTTCACCTACCTTGTGCTCTGTAAAAAAGGAAAAGTATAGACATTCATTAAGTATCTATTTAATACTGCATATCAGTTATTAAATCTCATAGTGTTTGATTTTAGAAATTTAAATTCAGAGGGGGTAAATAACTCACTTAGGGTAAAAATACCAAAGCAACAGGGATGTCGTTCATACTTGAGTTTAAAGTCCATGCCTCTTGCCATTATTCCCCAGTCTGTGGAGGTGAGTAGTTTGTACTGGAAGAACTGGAGTAAGGGAAGGTTGAAAGGGAAGGTGGGAAATCATTCCAATTCCTTATGTCACTTTATATATCATGTGTGCATCTTTTTCAAACTATTTCCAAGAATTTAATAATGCTTTCGAAGTACAGAGTAGAAAATGCTAATGTATCCTTCAAGTTATACAACAGAATTATTGTATATGAACTAAAAAAAAATTATCATGGTGATATATAACCCCCTCTTAAAAAGGCCTTTAAATGCTGGCAAGTTTCTGTGATTCAAATGAGCTTGACGTTCTGTTCACAATTTGCTAAGATACTTAAAAATCATTTCAAGGCGAAATAATGAAGTGCATTAACTCTTTAAAGAGGCACTTGAAATGCTAAGCAGAAGATATTAGCACTAACAGAAAAAAAAAAAAATGAGCCTTTTTACAATTACTAGTGAGTTCCAAAGCTACTATGATTTCTCACAAGAGAAATAAAAGCAAGAACTGAGAGAATTACGCCAATAATGAGTTACTTGGGATTTAAAATTTCAAATAAATCCAAAATTAATGAATTTTTAAATTAATGTACACTAAAATAATGTATTCTATTGAACCAAAGAGTCTGGCCGGGCATGGTGGCTCATGCCTATAATCCTAGCACTTTGGGAGGCCAGGGAGGGCGGATCATCTGAGGCCATGGGTTAGAGATTAGCCTGGCCAACATGGCGAAACCTTGTCTTTACAAAAAAATACAAAAATTAGCTGGGCATGGTGGTGGGCACCTGTAATCCCAGCTACTTGGGAAGTTGAGGCACGAGAATTGCTTTAACCTGTGAGATGGAGATTGCAGTGAGCTGAGATCATGCCACTGTACTCCAGCCTGGGTGACAGAGTGAGAAAGAAAGAAAGAAAGACAGAAAGAGACAGAGAGAGCAAGAAAGAAGGAAGGAAGGAAGGAACGAAAGGAGGGAGGGAGAGAGGGAGGGAAGGAGGGAGAGACTGAAGAGTAAAATAGCCTCATGCTAAAGAAATAGTCAAAGTTCCTTCATTTTTCTTTTTCTCGGTAATATTCCTTTATAGCAAATTGACTTTTTTCAGAAAGATAGATTAATTCTACTGTGTATGAGTTTCATTAAATGCCATATACAGCAGACATTATATGTATGGCTCATATTTTGTTTGATTTCCTTTATTTGTAGATACACCCATGTGCTTTGGTATTTCCTAGACTCATACCACCACCACCTCCCCCATTCTCCAGTCCCTCATATACCTAGCTAAATTTGCTTTTATGTTTATATTTCTTAACGTATCTTCTGAAATCTTTCCTTAACCCTTTTTGACTGTCCATTACATCTCATGGCCACATTTATTTAGAAAATTTTAAGGCCAAAAACATTACAAATCTTCCCATATTATCAATAACCCCTATCAGTACTTTTCTATCAATATTCTCTATGAGCTTAATACTGTTATTAAAAATAAAATGTGTTTTATAAGGTTTTAAATACCAGTACTAAAGTCAAGGTTCACGGCTGCTTCACCATGGTCATACCCAAAAGGCTGTTAGCCATGGGTCTCCTACACAACCTTTTAAGCTTTTTTTTTTTTTAGGTGCCAAGGAAGTGATCTCAGCTACAATACCATCATTCTACTTCCAAAGATGATTCCTGAAGAACTCTGAAAACGGTATGGAGAACACAGTAAGGTCCAATTTTTAATTACGAGCCCAACGTATAAGTCAAGTATGATTAAATTACACTCTTGAGGAGTTTAAGTAGAGGGACACTTCTTATAGATAAGGCGTAGGAATATTCTAAATGGTTATAAAATGGTTTACTTTATAAGAACACCTTTGGCAAAGAGATTATATCAGAAGACACCTTACCTGTACTGTGAGTGTCAGTTTACGAAATGTATCTTAAAATTTGAAAACTTTCCTGGGTAGCTTACCACATGGACTAACACATTTTTCTCAAACATTAATAATAATTGAGAATCAGTTTATAGGAGAAGCAGTGCAAATATGCTCACCCAAATGCCATGAATTTATATGCCTTAAGATCTCATCTGGAAGAGAAATCTAGTGCCTACTTAACTAATGCTCAGAGACATTAATGACACGGTTGTAAATAAATCAAGCTTGCCAACATTTAATTTTTTTTTTTGAGATGGCTCTGCTGAGCAATTAAAATCAATCAACATAATTATTCCATAAATTTTAAGCTACTGGTGATTCAACTGAATGAAACATCTAAGTCCTAAAACAGAATGCCAGACTGTCATCACAAAAATCGGGAGAAACCTAAAATTCAAATGCTGTGAAGGCGTGCCAAGTCAACCACCACACATGTATTACTGTTGAACATATCTTTAGAAAGACACCAATTCTCTCATCACTACTTGCTATTCCAATTTAATCAGCCCTGTTAACAAAGGGCATGCATAACAGCTTCCAATTCAAAGTATTCATGAAACATCAATACAAAGTATAAATATTCTAGTTCAAGTTATTAAGTTGCATGGACCAATGAGAATATGCACATCGAGAGTGGAAAAGAAACAATTTTTTAATAGCAAAAATGAATTGAAAAAAATTGGAAGATGAGTAGAAGAAAAAGGACACTAATATTATCATATAAGTGAAAAGCTCAAAGGGAAAATGAAAACAAAATCCAGCTACTTTGACCCAAAATAAAACCTTAAGAAAAACAAAAGCACCTACCAACTATAAACAAACAACTAATATTCAGAACTGAACATGATAATTAAAAAGCGAAGTGGTATGATCTTCCCTTTTCAGATATTTAGGAAGAGAAAGAATGAAGGCCAAAATGTCAAAGTATTCTTTTATGGGAGTGGGGTTATAAGTGATTTTTAAAATCTTTACATGTATGTATTTTATAAACACATTACTTTTATGATCAGAAAATTACGAAAAATTTTAAAAGGCATTCAAATAATTATAAGGAAAACAGTCTATACAGAAAAATATTCTGCTGTTTTTATCATTGTTTACTGTTGTCCATGGTCTAAGTTTTTCTGATTGAAAAAAAAAGAAAGCACAGGTAGGAGATTCAGATAATGAGTAAATAAAAGATTACATCTTTCATTTAGTATTTTCTCTTTTTCTCTCTTTTTGCTTCTGAGACTTTTAAGGTATCTTGACGTATTTAAACAGAGTCCCAAAACATCTAGAGCTCATTTCTGTTTTTATTAGTCATGAAACAAATAGACAAAGGGAGTCGATTTTTTTATGTCTAAGATCTCTTCCAACTCAAATTTGAGTTTCAGAAGATATTTAGCATTTCAGAAATTCTACTTTTGATATTTTAATAATTTGGTAGCCTCAAAACTTCATGTATTACATTTTGGGTTCCACGTAGATTGGGCCATTTCACATTGGTAAAAATCCCATTTTTTTTTTTCAGTATCTCACTCTGCTTCATGTTATGCTTAAGCTTCATGGATAACTTTTATTGGTTGTGTGTCAGAGACAAATTGCACTTAAATTGATAGATTTTTGCCTCACAGTATTAAACGACAATAAAAGGCAATGAATATGAGCAATTTCAAGAACTTGGTTCACTACAGTTTTAGGGAAACTGGGAATTGGTAAATTCAAAATTTAGATAAAAGGATTTTGTCTATAAATTAAGGATATAAAATTATACAATACAATTTTATCTATCTGGTCAAGGATTTGGCCAGAAGTAGTTTGAATCATCAAGGGGGCCAGTTTTTGCATTCTTATAAAAATTATGGCCATCACCAGCAGCTTTACCCAGAAGGAATGTGGTGATTATAGATTCAGATTCTTCCTTAAGGCAATTAAAGAAGACAGATAAATTGAACACCACAAGTCTTGAATTTCCAGGCTGCATCTTAAGATACAATCTACTTTTGTCATTTGTCTGAAATAGTACTTTTTAAAATAGTTACTGTTTTAAAGGCATGCTCAATAGCCATCTATTCGTAATTTGTCCAAAGCCTTGATATACTTGGCGCCTCCTCAGGTCTGTGTACACACAGACTCAAAATACACAAACACTTGTCATGAAGTCCTAAGAAATCTGGCCAGGAGAGAAGTGATGGCAACAGGACTATGGGACAACACAGATGAATACCCTTTACCTCTTCACAGACCAAAGTCATACCTCCAAACAGAAGCATTGAATTCAATGCCCAGCCTGTGTCATTCAATCTTTGCCACTATATCCTTACCTGTAGTTTGGTTTTGGTATCAGTGCCTCATGTACAAGTTAATTCAAAGCATGCATATGAACCAACTTCCCCAAGTAAGGGCTGTGATGAAAAAATTAGGGTCTGGGATCCTGCCAGGACCTCCAGTCTCTGGATCGTGGCCCTTTTTTCTTATACTTCTGTATCTATGGGTTTCAAATTGTGCTCTTAGTTCCTCAGGTTCGGCAAATGACGAAAGTTCGAACTCCCTTCCAGATTATTTCTTGCTTTCATAGCACCAACTGTGAGGATAACAACTTTTACAGAACAGTAAGTGTTTACTGACTCCATTATGTTCGTTGCCGCACTAAGCACATCACAGGCATTCCCTTCTTTAATCCTTGCCACAGTCATAAGGTGGGTCCTTACAATTTTGAAGGTAAGAGAACTGAGGCCCAGGAACATTAAATTGTTTTCCCAGGGACACACAGCTAGTAAATGGCAAAGGATGAGAACCCAAGCAATATGCTTCTGGACACAAATGCTCGGAACTATTCTTCTCTTTAATTTTGGCACAGGTCAGTTTCTATCTCCTCCACTAAACCCATCCATGAGAGTCGAGAATAATTTTTCTTTCCTTCCAAATTCTTCTATTTGTCTCGATCTAGTTTGCCAAGAATTCCTTGTAATCTTTCTGTCTTTCCTTTCTTTCCAACTAGATTATAAATATCTTAATTGTAGGGCTATGCCCCCTTTCTCAGTGATGCTCCCCAGAGAGTTCAGCAGTACCTCACATGAATTTGGTGTGAGTCTTAGAAATTCTTGATAAATGACAGTGCAGATCTAAAATTCAATTTTCATATATCAACTGCCAAAAACAACATTTGAGATGATGTAGTTCAATGTTTTGCTGGTGACTGTCAAGGAGAGAGATATAGTTTAGAAATCCAGGTGTGTGACCTTAAGGAAGTTTCTTAAGCTCCTTAAAACTCAGTTGCCTCACCTATGCAATTGTAGTATCGATCCCTAAAGTGCAGGACTATTGTAAAGGTTAGAGATTCTACACATAGCCAAGCGGCATGTACATAGTATACAGCTGATAAAGAATTATCATTACTTAGGTACTCAGAGTAACCCTGGATTCAACTAGAAAAGTGGTCTTCAAACTATTTTACCTGACCTGAACTCAAAAATTCCAGAGAAGAACTTAATCCAGGGGGAGGAATGAGAGCGAATGAATAGCAAGGGAATTTAGGGCAACTGGATGGAGCTCCTGGAGGCTGTTCCCCTATTCTGTAACCAGAAAAGTCTGTTCTTATAAGCTTCATAAACAGAAGTACTCTATGAAATTTTACTTTAGAAATAAAGCAACAACAACAACAACAACAAATAATCCACTTAGGAAGATAATTTAAACAATGCTGTTTGATCCCACTCAGAAGGTTATAGACAACCATACTTTCAGGTCAATAAAGTATTGCTCTTCTGGAAGTGGAAGGAATTATGAGGGTATAACATGAGTATTTATCAATGAGGCAGACTGTTTCTCCTTTAGAGAAAACAAGCAGTAAAGAATACTTAGCTTTAAAGGAAAATGTTCAGCTACCCCAGATTGCTTCTTGAATCTTTTTTTACCTGCCTTCTGAGAAGTCAATATTTATTCTCTAGGATCTATTGTCACCTTCACAGTGAAAACTCAATTCTTCAGGACTCCTGCAAATATTGACTGGCTCACGTCCTTGCCTGTATCCTTCAATACTGTAGGCCTCCGATCTCTACAGGTCTCAATTCCAAGGAACTTCCCATTTCCTTCTCAATGACTGTGATATATGGATGTCTTTTCATCTTCTAACTATTGAAAGCAAAGAGTTATGCAACCCACCTAAGACTACCTGGATCACACTATGAATTAAGTCAATGGCCACCTATGGAAAGTACCAAAGACCTTTCCACTATGAGTACAAAAGGTTGAACTTAATACATTAGTGAGAAATGTATTTTGATGTTGTAATGTATGAAGACATTATCAACTCAGTTGTTTTCTTAAAAATGTCCATTCACCTTTGTTATCACTTAATCCAAACTACACTCATGACCAGGAAAAGGAACAACAAAAAATCAAACGAAATTTTTTCTTTGTTCTGTTTTTCTACCAACATCCTAGCCATCAAGTTTAATAAATCTAAAAGTGATTTTTGTTAACAACATGGCTCGACAGTCCATGATTTTTTAATTTTTCCCTCCCTCTCAATCTGTTCTTCTTTTAATTTTACTTCTCACTATTCTTCAAAAGAATATATTAATAATATGTAGAAAGCTGGTACTCTTTACTAAGGCTGTGTTTTACTCCTTAAAAGAAAAATGCAACTTTCCTTAAATATCTCTGCTCAACAGCAACAAAACAAAAATAAAGCTGCAATGATGCCAATAATAACACTGACTACTTATTATAGTGTCTGTAATGTTCTTTTAAATTCCTCAATATAGACAATTTGATGAACATGATAGTATGCATATGTGTAGGTTAACACTAACTGGGCAGCTATAGGGTATAGTTCAGTCCTCAAACTATAGGGGCATTACCTGGAAGGCCTTGTTACACACGGATAGCTGTGACCCACCCCCAAAATTTCCTTTCAGTAGAGCAGGGGCCACAGATTTTGCATTTCTAATGAGGGCCTAGGTGATGCTGATGCTGCTGTTCCAGGGACCACACTTTGAGAGACATTAGAGTAAACATTTGAAGTTCCCTTACCAAGAGTTCATACATTAGGTATGGGTAGTAGGCATATTAAGAGCCTTATTCAGGAGTCCACACATAGAGGTAGGGAGCAGAAGGAGTAAAGGAGAGGTGCTTATAGCAAGGGCTTTAAATTACTGCTACCTAAATTTGCATCAGAGACTCTGTTAATGAACTACACTAATGCACTTCATGATCCTGGCCTGCATTTTCTCAACTGGAAAATCAGGGACAACCTCTTTCATCTACTAGATTGAGGTATTTTGAAGATTACATTACATAATGCATGGGATGACTGCATGGGATGACAGTTTGTAAATTATAAAGCATTATTATCATGATGACTTAGAAATTTAGTCAACAAAGAACATCTCATAAGCAAAGCAGTCTTTTCAGATTCACCAACGAAGTGCTAAGGTTACATTTCCTCAGTAGTCAGAGGAAATTGAAGGGGAAAATGAAGGCAAACACACTTGTCATGACTCAGCTTATCCTTTTATTTTGTTATATAACAAAACATAATAATTTTTTCCCAGTCTTCATTCATTGTCTTTAGCTGCTGTTTAAATTTTCCTAATTCCTCCTTTGAAGAAATTTATTAACTAACATATTTTATGTAAAAAAATGTAGCTACTTAGTAATGTCTCAAACACTGAACCATGAAGTTTCATCTCATGAAACATCCATAAGGGTTTCAATGCATTACAAAAAGTAGATCCTGCAATAGGTTCTGATTGCCCATTGTATGTCTCTAAGGCATTAAACTTATGACCTTCTCATCATTATGTTACAGAATTCATCTTTTTACAACAGATGTACTTAACATGGGTCCAAGTGCTAATATTTAAAAATTTTCGAAACCATAACATGCTGTATAAGTTTTTGTGAAAGCGGAGTCCTCAGACCAATAGAAGTAGTCTTACAGATACACTGGTGCTTAAAAGCAAAATGAAACATTGCAGGCAAAATTTAAAAGCTTGTGATAGTAGAGCAATATAGCAAAGTAGTGTCAGACTTATGGTCCTCCTTCTCACTAGTTATGAACATGGGCCTAATTGTTTAACTGCTTTAGGTCTTAGTTGCTTTTGCAATAAAATGGGGGTAACAACAACACCCATCCCTAAAGCTCTGAGCCTCATGTGTTGTTCACAGTCTTCAAATGTTATCTGCTTTTATTACTTATTGTTACTGTGGAAACATTCATTAGGAATTCATCCTGACCCTGACCTATAGGCAGGAAGGTTTCCTTTAAGAAAAATGATTACAGAAAATACAGTATTGGCCTATGTTACTAGTTTACTTTTTATTCCTCAAATCAGTTGAATAAATACTAAAAATGCCTCTAAGCAAATTGTTAAATGAATGAATGAAGATTCATTACACCAAAAACTGACTCAAGCTTTACATGTGTGGGAGCTTCTTATGGTGCAGATTTTTGTGGGAAAACTGCTGCTTCTGCAGGATTAACTAACAAAAACAGCTAAAAAAAAAAAAATCAGTGTTTCTTGCCTATTGTTTAGATTTCCTCATAAATTACCTGTGATCTTTAAAACATAACACTCTATCAGCTAAAGTCTGACTCTTCTTTAGAAATAGAGAATATTCAAAGTATTCAATGTTTTAGTAATTAAAAGGAGAGGGAGAATAATTTATCAAGCCTTCAGAAGGAATTAAGTTTATTGCCTTTCTTTGACTATGGAAGGTAGCTTTTGCCTCAGAAGCACCGCTAATGTATGACTATCTACCAGGCCTGGTCAATATAGAAATTGGACATGAATTTTTGGGAAAGTAGTTATATATAAATTATAAATACACTTTGATTGTAACAGTTTCCCTCAAGCCTAAGGAAAAAAATCTTCTCAACCTGTAGAAAAAAATATAGTTCAATAATAGTTTGCCTCTTCTCCGAAATTCATTTTTCGTCTACTTAAACAACAAAAAAAATGAGATTAAAACATGGCTTTTGTATGTACATTTGTTCATGTTAGTCTGTTATGTAGCATCATTGATACCTAGTGAATTGATTCCTTTATTAAAGAAATTAATTTATTTCTCAGGGATTACATAATTGGATTTATGTTACTAATTTCACAATATTCTTTAATAGATAAATGCAATGAAAATTTTACTAAGAAGAATATTGTCTAATTAACTCACTACACAAGTGTAACAACTTCCCCAAGATGCTGCCAAAATATACTATGTTTGCTTCATTGTCTGCGATGATAACATTTGTGGGAAGTCACTTAACTATCCCTTCCACAACCAGGGTCATGTTTCCACTCATCATTGGCCCAAACTTAATTTGTGTCTTCTCCCCTTCTTTCAGGATTCTTGGTAAAAATCATGTATTAAACTGGGAGAAAACAAACATGCTTCTCTTCAACTTACCTCTCAAAGGCAGAACAGAGACTGTCTCATTAGCCCAGTTATCTCTTCTGCTCTTTTGCTATAGCACAGCAAGCATGACAGTACCTGGGTACTTGTGCTCATGAAAACCCAGGAATAATGGTATTCTAGCAATTGTTTGTGCTGATGGACAGTGTTGCTTCATTTTCACATGTGGATGTGTCTTTATCATAAATCTAATACTTCATGGTGCTCTACAATGATATTTTCTAAAAAAGTATCTGATTGCTTACTTCTTGGTTTAGGCATCTTAAGAAATTTCCCAGGTTTGCAGCTATTATAAGAACTTCATCAATGACTCCTTTTCATTAACAGTAAAAATTGGCATTCTTGTCTTTTGTTCCTTTACCAATAAAAAGCATAGTGTGGATGAATGAGATATAGATCATATGTATTAGGTATAGGCATTATTTTTATAGCATGTAAAAGTATTTACAGCAAAAAATTCAGTTGAATCTCCTATTACTTAATTCTCATTCATCATTTAGGTTTTCGACAGTCAGCAGATTTTTCTGATACAGTTTGAATAATGTAATGCTTAAAACAGCTGCAAGGGAATGTAAAGACATTTCACTACATAGACTCAAATTTATTTTAAAAACAAAAATAAACACAAAACTCCAGACCTTTAAACTTTGCTCTTAAAACATCTATGACACTTAGTAAAATATCTTAATTAGTCAACTTCCCCTTTACTAATATCCTAGGAAAGTTTAAGTATGTAAACTTAAAAAGATTCAAACCAAGGCAGAAAAATAGTTTTTTACCCAACATTATTAAAGTCATCAATTTGTCAGATTTCTTGTAGGCTTTTTAGGCTCTTTGGCATTAATAATGAAGTATTTTAATAAAGAAAAAAATTAAATACTTGTTATTAACAATTTAAGGAGAAATAATTAGTCAGATATTTTGCCCAAGTAATGTCATAAAATATCTACCACACCCACCATAGACGTTCTTTGTAGATAACTTTCTGTGGTGATTATATTGACCAGGCACCAAGATGTTTTCCTGAAAAGTGCTTTTTATTGGGTTTCATTGGAGTTTAGTTGAATGAGACCATTTGAATAGTACATGACCAAAGGTCTGGAGGCACTGAGAGCTGAAACTCAAAGTAAGAGAAGTAGGGCTTCAATTTAATGTTTACAGGCAAAAGTACTCTGAGTTCAACATGTGTCACTGAATCCCTCTCATTGTAAATGAAACGCCTTTTCCTTTTAAGTTTCCAGTAACTTCAACTTCTCCATTTTTGTTATTTTGAAGAACTTTGGGCACAGAAGCAAGGCCCAGGGTAAGTGCAAATTGATATTGCTATAGCTGTGAGGGTAGTAAAAGTGAAATCACACCCGGGAGTGACACTTTAGGAAAACGTGATAATGATCTGCTTCCAGGTGTGGGAACTGAGTAAGTAAGGGGTATTCAAACAACATGTGAGACATTCTTGCCCCTGTGGGGTTGAAAACGGATGGCAAAACTCCTTTCACTATACAATTTCAAAATATTTAGATAAAATATTAAAAAAATCAAACAATACTGAAAACATTAATTGGTACTGTGGAAACCAACTATAACAAGCGATTCTTTCCCCATCCCCATGCCATTGGGAATGTTTGTGATTGGAAAGATACAAAGTGGTCATTTTCAGATCACAGTTAATAAAGAAAATTTGAGGCTATTAAGCCATGAACAAACTCAAGACTGTTGTTAAATTTTTGTTTCCAATATAATGTTAATTTTATATATTTTTATTTCTTCATTCCTCAGGGAAAAATCAATAGTTATTTTATAAGACAGGAGCAGACTATGAATATAGATCTGAATCATACCACGATTTTTTTCTTTCTATATCACTGTGGTTTTGATTTTTTAAAAATATTATTCCTGGTGCTATCAGATCTTCCTCCTAGTGCTATCGTGGTAACCACTGAAAATAAATGTTATTTATTTTCAGAAGAATGCCAATTTATTTTTTCCCAGATGAAAACCAAAGAGCTTGCTTCAAACTACCATGGTGCTTCCTTCTGTTGGATCACTATGAACAAGCTCATAATCATATTTTATAGCATATGTCAATCTAGAGCTTTAGTAAGAAAACTACTTCTTGATAACCTAATCTTAGAAAAAATCCACAGGTGTACTGATCATATTCATTAGCTGATGAAGTCACTGAAATGTATTTATTAACAGCCTGATACAATTGTAAAAACTGCTCTCCTAAACAGGAAACAAGTAATGTACATTGAAAAACTATTGAATGCTACCTAGGATTTAGTTACCACTGTGAAAATAAAAATGCATTAAGATGCCAGATAACTTTCAGGCTAATCAAGGAAAATAGAAAAGAGAAAGGATCATCAACATTTTCAATCATGAAGGAAAGTGGGTGATGTTAGGGTTAAGGAGGTCAAAAGCCGAGGTATGTAAGAAAGAAGAAGCATGGATAGGTCAGCTATTGTGTAGAAAAATATTCCCCTCAGAATTAGACTATTACGCCCAAGTGGATGAATCCATTTTGAATGATACTCAAAATGGTCAATACTCTTGTCATTTGATACTCCAAATGACATGACGACAGGAAAATATGGACAAGTTGATATAATCTTGAATACTAAGAAATAAATGAACCTTAAAAACCAAATAAATTTGAAGACATGTTTTTATCACATGTAAAGAATAAGACAGCATTGGGAGTTATATTACATAGTCATTTTGTAAAAGTAGCATCCACAATGTGATCTAATTAGAATCATAACATATCCAGCCTGAAGGTTTAATTTAAATATATAGAAAAAAATGGTGCTTGAGGCCTACAGTCACAAGTACAATCTCCCTAGATAGCAGAGGTGGCAGGACAAAAAAGTCCTGAAACAATAAACAAACATTATTCATGCTTCATAGTGCTTATGAAACATTTGGAAGAAACAGTTGCGCACAGATATTGTTTCTGATTCATGCACAAAACCTCTGTACCTATAAATGCAGATATATATTTGCACATCACCAACTCTAGGCTCTTTTGTCAACACAACTTTTATATCTTAAGTAGGCACTGTGAAGAAACAAACACACACACATGCACGGATGCATTCTTGAGCTTTCTCTGAGTCTGTGTTAAAGAAGAACATGTCCCATTACTCATTTTCTTTGAAGATGGATGTTCTGACCCCAAAAGAGTTAGGCTTATAATTTGCATTCAACATCTAGTTTCTTCTTGTTGAATTAGATTCACAGTGTCTATTTAAATTTGCCAAATCAGAGTACAATAGATGTTAGTGCAGACGAACATCATTATATAGAACTCTAATAAGAAAACTGATGTTTATGAAGCAAACAAATCATTTCATTAAAAATCTTTGCTGTAAAATTCATGTAAATAAACTACTTAAAATATTTCTTTAATAAAAATTCCATGTTTCATAAGATTAACTACCATGTTATTACCAACTGTTGGCTTTTGGAAATTTTGTAGTTTCAATTAGATTAAAGTATCAAGCAGTGTACAAGCCTGAAATATTTAAAAATTTTAAATACTTCAAAACAAAAAAATACTTATAATACTGAGATATCATCAAAATATGCTATTCTGGTCTTTTTTATCTTAAAAGGAATATATTTCTCATGAAAATGAAGCATGATTGTAAAAATTGTTTCACTTAATGGAGCCATGACTATTCTTTCTATAGTTAAGGTTCTTTTTAAGTAAGTTAAAAGTTGTGGCAGATTCTATTATGGTTCACTGAGTCTCATTCTTTGAGCTATGTAATTGAATGATCACTTGAAGTAAAAACATGGCAGCATCTATCAATCAAAAGAGTCCTATGCTTTCAGAGATCAAGAATCAACTGCCAAGGAAGACTCATCCTAAAAGGGGCCCATTTGCAATTGGTGTTACAGTGAATCCAATGAATAAAAAGGTGATTTCACTAATAAGATGTATAAGACAATTTCTGGGACTCCAGTTGGCCGTGCATTCTTATGTTTTTTTTAAATCCAATTTCATTGTTGTATTTTCAGTTATATGCTGTACTTCTGAAGGAAAAAACTAATACAAAAAGTAGTCAACGAGATCCAGATAAAACTAATTGAAATTCACAATGTACTTGTCATTTTGCCAATAGCATTTTTTTTAAATGACAAAACCTAATCAAAGTAATCTGTGACTGAAATCAACCACAGGAAAATGTGTCAGAAGGACTTTTCAAACATGAAATACACACGTTTGCCTAAAGATGCAATGAACCTTACATTGTTGACTTTTGAATTCAGCTCTGTTTGTTATACAGTCATTATATACTTATTCAGGAAGCAGATTTTTTTTAAAAAAATCTTTTTCCTTCTAACTATTGCAGCTGCTTCTGCCAAGCAATAAAAGTTGCTAGAGAAATCATATATACACATACATGTAAAATTAGGGAAACAAGCTGCTTTATTGCCCTGATTTAAAATAAGCTCAATCAGTAGAAAAGATAAATGCTATAATATACAGCTTGATGAGCAGCTGAGGGCAAAAATATACTCAGATGCAGTTTTAGAATTCAGGAGATATCTTACTCAATGATGTTTGAATGAGATGAAGGACATTTCTTCTCTTAATTTTTCTAAACCACTGAGTAAACAAGTGGAATTTATGTGAAGAATATAACCCAAAATAGACAGACATGTAAAAATTTCTTAAATATGATCCTGAGACTATAAAGAGAGAAAAGGACTTGCTCTTATTTGATTCAAATGTATAAAATTATATGATTTAAAAAATCCTAATTATGAGAAGTTATTGATTAAAGGATAATTTTCAGAAGTCAGCAAGAAAATGTAATTATACAAAACTGATTGTTAACAATCACCTTTAGTAGGAAAACAAATACATCAGCTATATTGCAGGGCAAAAATTAAAATACAAAGAAATAAAAGTATAAAGATTAAATGAATGGGCATTTTAAACAACATCTCAAAGGCCTAGGGAAAAGACATTGAAAATATTTTAAAAATATGAAAATAGTCTTACTCTTGACGGTCGCTGTCCGGGTACAGTTGTAAAGAATAGCCAATTCCCCAAACACTTTTCCTGGACCCATGGTACACAACTTCACACCTTCTTTTGTAACTTCAACCTTACCATCTAAAAAGGAGGAGGGAAAAACATGTTATATAAATTATTTCTCATGCTTCATTTGTTGCATTTTTAATGTGAAGAGGAGTGTTAGGCTCATTTGTAAAAATGCAGTTACCAATTAAAACAAAGTCACCACGAGGCAGCGCAAGAAATAAAACAAAATATGGAAGTTAAGAAAAGTACATATTTTCTTAAATTTACTACTGAAAAGATTTGATATGAGATCCAAAGAAACAACAAGAAAATATAGAGACAAACAGGCAAACATAATATTATTCCAAATCTGTTATTAGTAAACCACAGTAATTCCAATTTTAACGTAATTTTGAATCTGAAAGAAAACTTGAGTAAGTGGTACATTTTCTACAGCACACTTCATACTTGAAAATTCTCATTAGTAAGGCAGCTATTATGAAGAGGGGAATTACTTTGACCCTTTGCCATTATTTAATTCTGCTCATGGTATCTTTTTATTTAAAACATCTTGCCTGACTTGGCCAAGACTGTCTTATCTGCTTCCTAGCTCTGCAATGTTAACTGTAGGAAAAAACAAACTACAAGGGTTGAGGGAAAAGAAAGCTGTGTTATGACAGTTTATGTTTGATAAAGGACTTGGAAAATGAAATGCTAAAGGAAGTAAAAGCTAAGGCAACACCACATACTGGGTATATATTGTTACCTGCAAGTAAAACAAATGTTATTCATGAGATAAATGAAAAAAATACATATTTTTGAAAGTCATACCTATGTAGACTAAGAATTTCATGGCCTAACACAATCAAGATAGAAATAAAAAGGCAACACAATCCATTCTTGACTGACTTCTCCTCTCCTATTTTTCTCCAAGTTATTTATCCACAGTCTACAGAAGAGAAGCTTAATGCCTGGCAAGAGAGTTAGCTTGTGTTTGAAAGGAACTATGTTCCTCCAGTGTTTGCCAAACTTCAGGCCTTTATACTTTGATTTCATAATTGTTCCTTTATTTGTGTGCTACCTGCAATATTTAACCTTTTAGAGTATTGACATTAAATTCACTCCTTCCCTTTTAAAATCAACCTGGTTTTATCTAGGCAATAATCTTTGTAACAACTGAGGTTTAATGTGCTGATTAATTATTTTCAAATACTATGGAGATAAAATCTTAAATATATATATTTTAAATTTTAAGTTTAATCCATATACTAGTGGTACGTGATTCACCCTTCAGAGGACATTATCCTACCCTGAAAACCATTTCACATAAATGGTATCAATGAAGAGAGAATTCTGCAGTAATTAGAATAAAAATCCATAAAAATCTCCTCATTATTTTTGACTGGTGTATGCATGCCCCTCTGTATGTAAAGAAATTAGTCAGGAATGAACAAATTCAACAACTCAAAAGGTTTAAAAAGACTTGCTTACACAGGTACGGCCAAATATTCTAGCTTTCTCATGGTTCACTTCTTGACTGTAGGAAAGAAAATTCTTCCCCATCAAAATCAGTCCGGTAAATTCATCTTTTCATAAGCTTCAGATAGTTCCCATGGCATTTTCCTTCCTTTTTTTCAGTGGCAAACCTATGCCCCTAGAAATTTCATCTACCACTCAAGAATGAGAGACAGGACAGAATACCACACAGAGGTTAAAAAATTTATAAATCATCTAAAGATAGACCAAAAGTTTAGTTCTGGTTCTCTTTTCTGTTCCTTACTGGCCTTATGACCTTGGGCAAATTGCTTAACTTCTCTTTGCCTCAGTGAAATAGATACAATAAAAGCACCTATTTCATTGGATGATTGTCAAAATTAAGTGAGATAAAGCAGGTAAAATTCTTAACACAGTGCCCTGCACATAGCAAATGCTTAATAAATGCTTGCTCTTATCACTGGCATAATTTCTTTATAATTTATATGGAGGTATGATTTATTAGATGACATTGAAGCATAATATTCCATCATCTACTACAGAAACTAACCAAGAACAATATAGGGTAATAGAGGTTTTTAATTTCCCCTTGCCCAGTGGAGAAAGAATTTGTTTTCAGATTCCCTCTCTATGGGGGGTTGAGGAGAGAACCTTTTAGATCACATCCAAAGAAGAAAATAGAAGCTCAGAAAATCATACCAATCTTCCTAGATTAATGCAATGGCTTTGTACTTTTCTCCATTTGTCTATGTCTGGCCAACATTTGATGTTTCTTCAGCCCTCACAGCCTAGTGGTAGAGACTCCAAAGAATAATATGTAACAATTTTGCAATGCTTTGTAAAATTTTCTTGACCTATAGATCTAGTGTCAATTATACTAATAGATCTAAAAGCAAAAGGAATAAAGCCTAAAGAACTTTCATAAATAAATGATTTGTACAAGTCTATTTCTCTGACTCTCTGGGTTTAATAATTAAACATTTTCAGTAGAAAGAAACCTATGGGCCATGCGAGTAAAACCACTACTAAGAATTCTACCAGACAGTTTTGGAGTTTTTTTTTAAAGAAGGAGGAACATCAGGACTATTGTTTTAGCTCAGTGGTTTCTTAAAGGAAATCTATGGACCCATTACATCAGAACTAATTTGTAAAGATAAGATATTCGCCCCATAGGAAAGAGTGAATATCCCTTCACTGCCACGACCACCATACTCAGTTGTACTGCCACTTCTTTCCTGAAAAGCCATGCTCATATAACACTGATGGGTTTCAATTTACTGACAATTAATTTTCTAACAAATTATGTTTCCTATTTTCATATGGCATTACAGCCAGAATTGTGTAAGTCTCCAAAGTTTAAAATTTGTGCACAAGCTCACTTCTGGTTCAAACTTATTTTCCTGATCTTATCTTTTTTTTTTTTTTTTTTTTGAGACGGAGTCTCGCTCTGTCGCCCAGGCTGGAGTGCAGTGGCGGGATCTCGGCTCACTGCAAGCTCCGCCTCCCGGGTTCACGCCATTCTCCTGCCTCAGCCTCCCAAGTAGCTGGGACTACAGGCGCCCGCCACTACGCCCGGCTAATTTTTTGTATTTTTAGTAGAGACGGGGTTTCACCGTTTTAGCCGGGATGGTCTCGATCTCCTGACCTCGTGATCCGCCCGCCTCGGCCTCCCAAAGTGCTGGGATTACAGGCGTGAGCCACCGCACCCGGCCTGATCTTATCTTATATTTGCCTAATTTTCTCATGTTTAACTTATTTTTTTGATAAGGTAGGTATAAATTATACATATATGTATATAAATTATTTGTATATATGAATAATCAGTGCTGGTAACAAAAGGTTGTATTTCACATTAATTGGAATAGCTAAAAATCACTTAGCCAGATTGTATTTGAGAAATAGCAGTTTTGACATAAAACATCTTTTCCAGGCTAAGTTAAACACTGGAAATTCAATATACTCACAACAGTCAAAAAAGTAAGGGATGTGATGTCATATGATAGATGAGAATGATCCAAAAAGCACTGCTTTTTTTTTTGAGATGGAGTCTCGCTCAGCCAGGCTGGAGAGCAGTGGTGTCATCTTGGCTCACGGCAAACTCTGCCTCCCAGGTTCAAGCAATTCCCCTGCTTCAGCCTCCCAGCCTCCCAAGTAGCTGGGATTACAGGCACATGCCACCATGCCAGGCAATTTTTTTTTTTCTTTTTGTATTTTAGTAGAGATGGGTTTTCACCATGTTGGCCAAGACGGTCTCGATCTCCTGATCTCGTGATCCGCCCACCTTGGCCTCCCAAAGTGTTGGGATTACAGGCGTGAGCTATCGCACCCCGTCCAAAAAGCACTGCATTTTTTAAGTAAACAGAAAGACATAAATGATAAACAAAACACAGTGTCTGTACTTTGTTACCTGGAGTCATAATTTGGTATCCTTTCTCACACCTGTTATGTGAACGAGGAATGGCTAATTCAAGGAGGCAGGACACACTGGATACTTTAATGAGGGCTCTTTCAGAGACATTTAGAAGTATCCCAATTTTCTAAGAGTCTAGTGAGTTACTGGTCTGATATGTGAAATTGGTTAAGCTAATTTACTAGGCCTCTCACCCGTCTTGTAGCAAAATTAGAAGTGATTACACATTTACAAATGATTTCCAAGTATAAATGTGTGGTTCACCTAAGAAAGCTAAGAATAATAAAAGCTTTCTGCGTACACCCAGTGACCCCTAATCTCACCTAATCAACTTCCTTTCTTCCTTTAAAGTATTAAGGTAGTCATGAGGCCATTCCTTTAGTTTTATACTCCCTTAAGGAGTTGTGTCTTTTTTTCTTCTTTTTCATTCTGTGGCTACCTCTGAGATGTGTTTTACACTGACTCCATTTGCATAGAAAGTAGATGAACTTATATGTTATTATTTAGGTGGCAAAGAGGGTAAAACAAATAGGGAAAATGCAGGTAGGCTGAATATACAGCATGCTTTTGCCAGAGACACACCAAATTTAGAAACAGCTCAGTTTGGAGGTTTTTATATATTACAGTTTGCTACTAACTTTAGAAATGCATTTTGATGAGTTTACTGATGGTCTTCATTGATTAATGTGATATCTATTTCTTTTAAAAAAAAACAGAAGACATTCATTAGCATTTATTCATGATTGTTTTAATACTTCAGTTTAGTTTCAGTTTCAAATATGTTAGATTTCAAATCAAAGACTCCTTTTTCAAGAGTATCAGAAAGTTGTTTTCCAAGCACCTTACTAAGTTCTAGACTGTTTCTATTAATTTCTCTAAGACCAACAGTTACTAGAGGCTATTAGGTCTGTTACTAAGGGAACAAATGATAACCCAAATGTGGTAATTTATATATTCTGCTTCTGTGCATTTTACTATTTATATTTACTTTTAAAAATATATTACTAGATTGGTATAATTTTCATCGTGTCCTCTTACCACCATATTCATAAGGAAGAAATATAAAAAAAATTCAAATCATTTTAATTTGAATTCTACTAAATTGCTAAAGTTGTTTGTATGAGAGAAGATTTGAAACAGTTGGCTAAAATGACGTTTAAAGGGTTATTTATAGTTTTATTTAGCTCTTTTATCGCTCCTGGCATTGTCATGAATAATTGAAAGATGTATCATGGTAACTTGAATGCACTTTTAAATTTTACTTCAGGTAACACATGCCCATTTATGCTCTGGAATGAGCTGAGTCATAAGTCCTAAACCTTGTCATTTTGAGAAGCAATCAATCATCTGGTTTTTGGCACCACTATACACATACCACCCTTGGAAGATGTTAAGCATTAAGGGATCCATTATAGCATATCTACTTCTGTGTTTATCTTTTATAAGGCCCTATAAATAATGGAAGAAACTGAGTTTAGAGGGAGACTCAGAACCTCCCGGCTTTGTTTATCCTTATGAGTTTTTCACTAACCTCTGGTTTTGTGCCATAAGGACTTTCATGATAAGTAGAATCAGCTTAGAGATTTATTACTGGCAGGCAGAAATAGAATGCTGGCAATAACCTAATTATAATCACTGTGCTTAGTTCCAGAAATCTTGGTTGGAACATTCAGGACAACTTGATTGACTATTAAAGGGAACCAGGTGTTCTAACAAAGGTCTTGTCTAGACAAGAACTCTTATCTCCTTCCTTCTGTAATCTGTTTGACTATACCTTCATGATTTTGTAGGTTGGAGTTTGTGGCTTTTACATTACATATTCTTTCATAATGGCTTCTACAGTTGCTAGATTCAAAAGGAACTTTCAATATTCTGGTAGTGGAGCTGTGCTGTCACCAGCAAGGATGTATTTTCCTTTGGGAGATGGGGTTCATCTGTGGATCTGCTTTCTTAATAGATTAGGCATACTATTATATCAGACTTGCCTTGCAGGGTCATTTTAGATGGGGGGTGCTGTCACCCAGTAAGAAAGTAGAAATTGATGAGGCTGCCATGGGGCAACCTACGGGGAAAAGCCATCCAATTCCCAGGGACAGACTATAAACTTAGATATCTCCCTTAAACCTGTACTTCTTGTTAGTCATTTATATATGTCTTTCTTAAGCCACTATAAGAAGGAAAAGGATGACCCCACTGTGAGATGCAATTTTGTTCTTGAATTAAAGAATAGCAGTGTGTCCTTGCCTTATCAGTTGTCAGTTTAAGATTGCTTTCAAATCTGAATAGATAAAGTCTCTCTGGATCTGAACTCTTGCCCCCTAGATGATGTGTTAACTCTTCACAGTATTAATCTGGATGTTTGAAAATCATTCTTTGGACATTGAATAAAGCCTGTGAGAAACGGCCCTATTTTAGTTTGTTTTACTCCTAGTTGGCTATGTATCTTGCTTAGTGGTTTCTCATTACACATATATATGTATTAGGTTTTTTTTCTAAACCTTTTTGTATCCATAGTTTCTAAGACCATCATGTTGTTAGAATATTTTAGTTAGAACCAAGCTTCTAATTCAAAGAGGTCACTTTTCTTTGACATCATCATAGAAATAATTCTTACAGGGTGCTCAAAAGCACTAGTTATCCAAATGGAATGAAACAATGTGAGATGGAAAAGTCTAGTTGAGGTTGAAGCTACATGAGTGAAGATCTTTGCTTCTCCTTAGATTAGGCAAATCTGATTTCCCTTCTGGTCATGACTGCTATAAATACACTTGAAACAATTTTCGTTATACTAAATTACAACAGATTATAATACATATTGCATATGAACTAAAACCATTATAGTTATTCTTGGTTGTGAATCAAAAACATAAATAAGCTATCCAAAACTAAAAATCTCATTTATGCAAAAAAAGAGTCAATATACTTATCAAGGTATCTCAACTTCAGAATTGTTTCTGATTCTGAAGTCATGAGGCATACATACATATTCACAAAGAAAACTTATATGAGGAAACAGACTGAAATTTAAGCAATTTTAATATTTAGATATAGAGAATCATCTGAACCATCAGAATGAAAGTCTGGAATGAGAAACTTATATTGCAGCAATTCTGTCCTTGAAGATAATTAAGGAAAAGAGAACATACTAAACCTATTGTAGATGGGTCAACCATTTATCTGACAATGAACAGGATTCTGAAAGGACTTCACAACATCCTTCCCCAGCATCATGATTCCATAAGCTTTCTGTGCATTATCTTTTGAAATGTTAGCACTTAAAATACATGTCAAGCACTAGATAAGTGTTTGTGGACTGATTTCAATTTCCAGTAATGAGGAAAGCTAAAGACAGGCCATAGATCCAGTGTGCACCCACAAAAAAGAAAGGAAAATAGACTAATCATCCCCTAAATAAACGAGAGCTGAACATATAATTTAATTGTCCTAATTAAGTCAAGTGTATTAAGCTTAATTCCAGCAATGTATAATACATTCTTGCTCTATTGTTTTTTCTATAATACATGAGCACCTTCAATTAGCCTAAAGAATGAATGGCTATTTCCGTAATTGCTTAGAGGCAGGAAAATGGCAAGAGTACTACAATCACTATCAGAATTGTGGGCAGTCTTAATGTGATTTTTATTTTTGTTATGTTTTAATATTAAGCTTGGGTGAGTATGTAATATAATGTAACAGATCTCAACTGGGGGCAATTTTACCCCTAAGGGTACATTTGGTAATATCTGGAAACATTCCTGGTTGTCACAACCAGGGGGTCCTCTGGCATTTAGTGGGTTGAGGCTAGGGCTGCAGTTATAATGCAGAAGATAGTGCCCCCACAAGAAAGAACTATTCAGCCCAGTGTCAGTAGTGCCAGAGTTGAGAAGTCCTGATGTAAACAAAAATCCATGAGCATACAAAATACTCTATATTTCAAGGGAAAACTTTGACTTCCACTATTTATCATATTAACTTCCACCAAATGTAAATTACAACCTAGATAAAAGGGCAGCATCAGGTTGCATATTTAACTAAATCATGTTGCCAGCAGATTGAATAAAGCCACAAAGCTACTTTACTGAATAATTTTCCACAGCAGATGTCACCTGAAATTAGAAGTAATTACAGAAATTTCTAAGCTTATGAAGACACTCTACTGATGTTAGAATAACATCCTTTCTCCACACATACTTGAGAATTTCAGATCCTGGCTCCACCATTGACTGACTGTGGAAACTTAGATAACTTATCTAACTCTCTGTGCATGGATTACCTCACTACATATTTGGGATAATAGTATCTTATTTCCTAGGGTTATGATAACTGAATTAGATAATACATGTAGCAAGACAAAGAATATATACGTTGAGTAGTTTTTAAAGAGAAAATTTTCTTTCTTATAAAAAATAAAATACATTGAGAAGCAGTTTTAAGTGGGGATAAGCAGGCCTCTAGGTCATGGTTCATAAAATTTAGAAGGGAAAAAGAGCAGAGTCATAAACATACAGGAAAAATGAAGAAGCTAGAGGTTACAGAGAAAGAAGCCAGTGGGAAAGTCTCATACTTCAGAGACTGAAAGACTTGGTAAAAAGGATGTCTAATATACAGTATTCAATTATTTGTTGCCAGAATAAATGTCCTACCCCTCTCTCCAAATTCTTAGTAAAGTCTGTTTCATACTAATTTCTTGTGTGAGGGGTTTGGGGGAAGATGAAAGCTTGAGGGAAGATCTACTGCTTAGGTACGTCAAAGAATAGAGGGGTCAGGATATGATGAAGGAGTGATGAGGAAAGTTAAAAGGCAGGAGATTTGGAGTAATTGTGCAAATTATATTAATGTGAGAAACTAAGGACTCAGGAATTTGCATGTATCTTAAGGTCATTTCACAAGATGTCAAATGAATACTAAATCCAATTTCATCTAAATTTCAAGGCATTAGAAAGTGAATAGAGTCATTCTTCAATATACCTGGGGATTGGTTCCATGACACCTATGTATATCAAAGTCCATGAATACTCAAGTGTTGCAGTCATTCCTCCTTATGTGTGGGTTTCTGTAGTTTCGATCCATGTTTGGTTGAAAAATACCTACATATAAGTAGACCCGTGAAGCTCAATCCTGTGTTGTTCAAGGGACAACTGTACTGTCAACAAGATGTTGCTTCAATCAGAGATTACATGTCCTTTTTCTAAGTCCATTTGTTTAGCTTTGTCATGGCTCTTAGGCAGAAAAAGGAAACAAAATACACAAAGTTCTTAGCAGATATCCTGGCTTCACTGCTCTTGGATGCTTTGAACCTTTGGCTCTCAGTTTCTACAACAATGCAATGGGAATAATAACTACCTGCTTCACAGTATTAATATATAAAATTTATGTGAAAGATCTTTGTGTGTGATGAAGCTTTCTGTTAATATTAGCATAAACTAATCGAGGGAACAGTTATTTAATTCATACCATATCTGGTTGTAAAAAAAAAAAAGGGTTATTAAATACTCATTGATGAATATGTTGGAATGTTAGTCAAAATGTTAGTCACTATTCCTGTGAGCATGCTTGTGTGAAAGCCTTAGGACTACATTTTAATTTCATTTCATGTAACATCCAGAAAATAGAAACAACAATAATTCAAAGTATCAACCTCCTACTCCACTTATTAAAAGCATTTCTGGACTATAACTTACTTCACCCAGTGGTATAATACATTTCCTACCATGAGAATTGTTACTTGACAGTTTAAAATATCTGCGCTTGATGTGATATATGTATTTTTTCCCATTTTATGAGGTTAGGATTCTCCAGAGTGTACAACAAGCACTTATCTACCTGCACATTGTTTTAAAACAAAGAACAAACTAAAATGAAGAATAACCACATACCCTGCAAAAAATACTAAACATCTGCTTAATAAGATGAAAAAGAATGCTTTTAAACTTATTTTCTCAAAAGCAATTATACAAATGGCCTGGGGCAGGTTGGGGGTGAGAGGACTTGCTTTGAAAGTCGCTACCCAGACAGAGAATGATGACCTTTGTCCTCCAGCACCATTGAGGACAAAATAAGGAGGACTCAAGAATAAGGAAAAACTGAGGGTAAGAAAAAACTGCTGAACAATCCTCTATTTGGCAGTCAAGGAAGATGGTAGACTAATGCGTAAGAAGAGCTTTATCAACTGATGACTGAATAAACAAAATATAGAATGGTATTCAGCCATAATAAAGAATGACCTGCTGATACGTGCTACAACGTGAATGAAGCTTAAAAATATGCTAAGTGAAAGAAGTCTGTCACAAGAACCACATGTTATATAATTCTGTTTATTTTTGGTATTTTATCTTATTTCAATAGTTTTTGGTGAACAAGTGGTTTTTGGTTACATGGATAAGTTCTTCAGTGGTGATTTCTGAGATTTTGGTTCACCCATCACCTGAGCAGCGTACACTGCATCCAATATGTAGTCTCTTATTCCTTCCCGCCTTTCCCCCTCCCCACTGAGTCCCCAAAGTCTATTATATCATTCTTATGTCTTTGTGTCCTTATAGCTTAGCTCCCACTTATAAGTGAGAACATACCATATTTGATTTTCTATTCCTGAGTTACTTCACTTAGAATAATGGTCTCCAACTCCATCCAGGTTGCTGCTAATGCCATTATTTCATTTTGTTTTACAGCTGAGTAGTAACCCATAGTGTATATATACTACATTTTCTTTATCCACTCATTGATTGATGGACATTTAGGCTGGTTCCATATTTTTGTAAATGCACATTGTGCTGCTATAAACATGTGTGTGCAAGTGTCTTTTTCATGTAATGACTTCTTTTCATCTTCAGTAGTGAGAATGCTGGATTGAATGGTAGATCTACTTACAGTTCTTTAAGGAATCCCCATACTGTTTTCCATAGGGGTTATACTAGTTTATATTCCTGCTAGCAGTGTAAAAGTGTTGCCTTTTCACCACATCCATGCCAACGTTTAATGTTTTTTGACTGTTTTTATTGTGGCCATTCTTGTAGGAGTAAGGTGGTATCTCTTTGTGGTTTTCATTTGCATTTCCTAATAATTAGTGATGTTGAGCATTTTTTCATGTTTGTTGGCAGAGTGTATATATTCTTTTGAGAATTGTTTATTCATGTCCTTAGCTCACTTTTTGATAGGATTATTTGGTTTTGTACTTGCTGGTTTGAATTCCTTGTAGATTCTGGATATTAGTCCTTTGTCAGAAGCATAGGTTGTGAATATTTTTTCCCACTCTGTGTTGTCTAAAAAATACTGATTATTTCTTTTGCTGTGCAGAAGCTTTTTAGTTTATTAGGTCCCATCTATTTATTTTTGGTTTTGTTGCATTTGCTTTTGGGTTCTTTGTCATGAATTCTTTGCCTAAGCCAATATCTAAAAGTGTTTTTTTTTCCTATGTTATTTTCTAGAATGTTTATGGTTGCAGGTCTTAGATGTAAGTCTTTGATATATTTTGAGTTAATTTTTGTATAAGGTGAGAGATGAGGATCCAGTTTCATTCTTCCATATGTGGCTTGACAATTATCCCAGCACCATTTATTGAATAGTGTGTTGATATGGTTTGGCTGTGTCCTCACCCAAATCTCATCTTGAATTGAAGCTCCCACAATTCCCACGTGTTTTGGGAGAGACCTAGTGGGAGATAATTAAATCATGGGGGGCGGTTTCCCCCATACTGTTCTCCCGGTAGTGAATAAGTCTTATGAGATCTGATGGTTTTATAAGGGATTTCCCCTTTCACTTGGCTCTCATTCTCTCTTGTCCACCACCATGTGAGATGCGACTTTGCTCTTCCTTCACTTTCACCATGATCATGGGGCCTCCCCAGCCATGTGGAACTGTGAGTCAATTAAACCTCTTTTCTTTATAAATTACCCAGTCTCAGGTATGTCTTTATTAGCAGCATGAGAACAGACTAATATAGTGAATTGGTACCAGGAGTTGGGTGCTGCTGTAAAGATACCCAAAAACGTGGAAGTGACTTTCAAATTGGGTAACAGGCAGAGGTTGGAACAGCTTTCAGGGCTCAGAAGAAGACAGATAAACGTGGGAAAGTTTGGAACTTCCTAGAGACTTGGAGGGCTCAGAAGACAGGAAGAAGTGAGAAAGTTTGCAACTTCCTAGAAACTTGTTGAATGGCTTTGACCAAAATGCTGCCAGTGATATGGACAATAAAGTCCAGGCTGATGTGGTCTCAGATGGAGATGAGGAACGTGTTGGGAATTGGAATAAAAGTGACTGTTGCTATGTTTTAGCAAAGAGATTGGTGGCATTTTGCCCCTGTCCTAGAGGTTTGTGGAACTTTGAACTTGAGGGAGATGATTTAGGGTATCTGGCAGAAGAAATTTATAAGCAGCAAAGCATTCAAGAAGTGACTTAGGTGCTGTTAAAAGCATTCAGTTTTAAAAGGGAAAAAGAGCAGAAAATTTGCACCCTGACTATGCGATAGGAAAGAAAAACCCATTTTTTGAGGAGAAATTCAAGCTGGCCGCAGAAATTTGAATAAGTAATGAGGAGCCAAATGTTAATCACCAAAACAATGGGGAAAATATCTACAGGGCATGTCAGAGACCTTTGAGGTAGCTCCTCCCATCACAGGCCTGGAGGCCCATGAGGAAAAAATGGTTTCATGGGCTAGGCCCAAGGACCCTCTGCTATGTGCAGCCTAGGGACTTGGTGCCCTGCATCTCAGCTGCTGAAGCCATGGCTAAAGAGGCCAAGGTAGAGCTTGGGCTGTGGCTTCAGAGGGTGCAAGCCCCAAGCCTTGGCAGCTTCCATGTGGTGTTGAGTCTGTGGATGCACAGAAGTCAAGGATTGAGGTTTGGGAACCTCTGCCTAGATTTCAGAGGATGTATGGGAATGCATACATACATGAAAGGGATTTGCTTTGTCTCAGATGAAACTTCGAATTTTGGAATTTTGAGTTAATGCTGAAATGAGATAAGATGTTGGGGGACTGTTGAGAAGGCATGACTGGTTTTGAAATGTGAGGACCTGAGATTTGGGAGGGGTCAAGTGCACAATGATGTGGTTTGGTTCTTCCCCACCCAAATCTCATCTTGAATTGTAGCTCCCATAATTCCCACATGTTATGTGAGGGACCCAGTGGGAGATAACTGAATCATGGTGGTGATTTTCCCCATACTGTTCTCATGGTAGTGAATAAGTTTAATGAGATCTTATGGTTAGATAAAGGGTTTTCCCTTTCACTGGGCTCTCAGTTTCTCTTGCCTGCCATCATGTAAGACATGACTTTGCTCCTCTTTTGCTTCCACCATGATTATGAGGCCTCCCCAGCCATGTGGAACTGTGAGTCAATTAAACCTCTTTTCCTTATAAATTACCCAGTCTCAGGTATGTCTTTATTATCAGTGTGAGAACAGACTAATACAAGTGTCCTTTTGCCACTTGATGTTTTTGTTTGCTTTGTCAAAGATCAGTTGGCTGTAAGAATTTTACTTTACTTCTGGGTTCTCTATTCTGTTCCATTGGTCTATGGCCTATTTTTTTTTACCAGTACCATGCTATTTTGGTAACTGTAGCCTTGTAGTATAGTTTGAATTTGGGTAATGTGATACCTCCAGATTTGCGATTTTGCTTAGCCTTGCTTTGGCTAGGCAGGCTCATTTTTAGTTCCATATAAATTTTAGGGTTGTTTTTTTCTAGCTTTATGAAGAACACTGATGGTATTTTGATGGGAATTGCATTGAATCCTTAGATTGCTTTTGGCAGTATGGTCATTTTCACAATATTTGTCTACCCATCGATGAGCATGGGATGTGTTTCCATTTGTTTGTGCTGTTGATGATTTCTTTCAGCAGTGTTTTGTAAGTTTCTTTGCAGAGATCTTTCACCTCTTTGGTTAGGTATATTCCTAAGCATTTTATTTTTGAGCAGCTGTTGTAAAATGGTTTGAGTTTTTGATTTGACTCTCAGCTTGGTCACTGTTGGTGTATAGCAGTGCTACTGATTTGTGTACATTGATTTTGTATCCTCAAACTTTCCTGAATTCATTTATCATATCCAGGGCTTTTTGGATGAGTCTTTAGAGTTTTCTAGGTATACAATCATATCATCAATGGACAACAACAGTTTAACTTCCTCTTTACCAATTTGGATGCCCTTTATTTCTTTCTCTTATCTGGAATATTCTCCAAGATGGACCATAGGATAGGTCACAAAATACATCTCAATAAACTTAACAAAGTAAAAATTATATCAAGTGTCCTCTCAGACCACAGTGGAATAAAACTGGAAATTAACTCCAAAAAGAACCCTCAAAACTATACAAATACATGGAAATTAATCTGATTTTAAATGGTCTTTGGGTCAATAATGAAACCAAGATGGAAATTAAAAAAATATTTGAACTGAATGATAATAGTACACAACTTATCAAAACCTTTGGGATACAGCAAAAGAAGTGCTAAGGGGAAAGTTCATAGCATTGAATGACTACATTAAAAAGTCTGAAAGAGCACAAATATACAACCTAAGATCACACCTCAAGGAACTAGAGAAACAGGAACAAACCAAACCCAAATCCAGCAGAATCAAAGAAATCACAAAGATCAGAGCTGAATTAAATGAAACTGAAATAAATGAACAACAACAAAAACAACAACAAATACAAAAGATAAATGAAACAAAAATTTTGTTATTTGAAAGGATAAACCAAACTGATAGACCATTTAGTGAGATTAATGAAGAAGAGAAGAGAGAAGATCCAAATAAGCTCAGTTAGAAATGGAATGGGAGATATTATAACCAATACCACAGAAATACAAAGGATCATTCAAGGCTACCATGAACACCTTTATGTGCACAAACTAGAACATCTAAAGGAGATGGATAAATGCCTGGAAATATGCAAACCTCCTAGATTAAACCAGAAAGAAATAGAAATTCTGAGCAGACCAATAACAAACAGTGAGATTGAAATGGTAATTTAAGAATTACCAACAAAAAAAATTGTAGAAATAGTTAGATTCACAGCTGAATTCTATCAGACATTCAAAGATGAATTGGTACAAATCTTACTGAAACTATTACAAAACATATAGAAAGAGGAAGTCCTTCCCAAATCATTCTATGAAGCCAATATCACCCTAATACCAAAACCAAGAAGGGACATAATTAAAACATAAAACTACAGACCAATATCCCTGATGAACACAGATGCAACAATTTTCTACAAAATACTAGCTAACCGAATCCAACAGCATATGAAAAAGATAATCCACCATGATCAAGTGGGTTTTATACCAGGGATGCAGTGATGGTTTCACATACGCAAGTCAATAAATGTATTATATCACATAAGCAGAATTAAAAACAAAAATCATATGATCATCTCAACAGACACAGAAAAAGCATTTGACAGAACTGCCATTCCTTTATGATTAAAACCTTCAACATAATCAGCATAGAAAGGGACATACCTCAAGGTAATAAAAGCCATCTATGACAAACGCACAGCCAACACCACACTGAATGGGGAAAAGTTGAAAGCATTCCCCCTGAGAACTGAAAAAAGACAAGGATCCCCACTTGTACTACTTCTATTCAATATAGTCCCAAAGTCCTAGCCAGAGCAATATAATTCCATTTATATAAAATGTCTAGACTAGCTAAATCTGCAGTATAGACAGATGGTAGACTAGAGTTCCCTATGACTAGGAGAAGTGGAAAAATTGGGTATAACAGCTACAATTTCTTTTTAGGGTAATGAGAATATTTTAAGTTTGACTGTGGTGATGAATGCACAAGTTTGTTTATATGCTAAAAGACACTGATTTGAACACCTTAAATGGGTAAATTGTATGGCATGTGAATTATATCTCAATAAAGTTGTTAAAAATAAAGATTAGCACAGGTACATAGTAATTGTTCAATTATAAGATTTGTCACTAATTCCATTAATATAATAATATCTTTTATGAAAAGATTAAGAATTAGAGATGCTTTGACTTCTCACTCTTCCTTCAGTAATTCTCTCCTATTCACTTTTGGACAATTATAACACATGTTTCACCAACTGTAATAACCTCTTTTGCCTTCCAAAATTACCATCCATCACTTCCTAACCTCACTTTCAAAGAACGTCAAATTATCTTTAAGTCATGCAATTGATGATACAAATACTTATTGTGAGCACAGTTAATCCACACAAGTGTATCTATTTCTTAACTGAAACTCTGCCTTAAGTCCTTGTTGACCTGGATTCTCTGCTATCAAACTATACTGCAAAGAGAAAAGAATAATTTATTGGATGCAATTCTGATAAAGTATCCCCCTGTTAAGAAGTTCAAACTGGTTTCTCTGGAGTCAAATTCATATTGCTAGCTATGTGTGTCTAGTATTTCCATGAATACAGATCTTCTCTAAATTAATCTGAGTTTGAGTCTTCATCTCTGACATTCTCTTATTCAAACCTCATGGTCTAGCTCAGAGGTTCTTACCCTAATAGAACTCAGGGATCTGTGAACTTGGATAAGAAAAATAATATATACATCGTTATTTTTACTAACCTCTAGTTGAAGTGTGGTAACAAACAACAGTAACAAATCACGTTAGTTTAAGAGTATTATGGACATTGTCACCAAAAAAAAAAAGTTTACTTACTGTATGACAATTGTTGCAAATAGCTTTAAACATTGCTTAGTCTCATCACTCCCTTAAACTCATGGTAGTTATTAGACATACTGTTAGGTCTTATTATTTAATGTGTTAAATAGAAATAACACCTATTAGTAAATCACAAATTTATTTTATATTATTTTAGTTATTGATTCTCAATATAAATAGTTGTTTTGGTAGTCGAAAGTAGTGTATTTTATGCACTTAAAAATATTCTGAAATGAGGTCCATACACAGCAGACTTCCAAAGGGGTCCCTAGCACAAAAAAGATTAATAACCCCTAGTTAGCTGAATACACTTCTAATATTTTACACAAAATGTTTAACTTTATTCATCATTGAATTTGCCATTCTCTTAGACTTCTATAATGCTTTTGCCACAATGAGGGGCATCTTTTTTTTTTTTTAATTTTTGTTAAGACAAGGTGTTTCTTCTCTCCACTCATTCAAGTTCCAGCCTTCCTTCTCTACACCACTGCCAACTCAGCTTCTTCACAAAGCACTCTTAGGTCAGTCTAAGTATCTCATCCCTTCCAACATGGATAAAACTCTGCCAAAAAGTTGAAAGATTTTTATAGCTGCAACTGTTTATTAGTTTGTATTTTCTTTAGATTTTCCATATATATTCTCTGGGTTTGTTCTCTTCTAATGAACTGAAATGATGGCCCAGAATTTGCCTAAGAGAGAGAAGACAAAGTCGAATTCTTTAAAAGCATGTAAGTTAGTTGGCTGGAGCACTTGTTAGAAGTCCAACATCATGAATTCCATCTCATTACTTGCCAGCTAACTTTAATTGGCTCCCTGGCCGTACGGTTTGCCTCTTACCTTAGAGTTACTAATATGTCTTTGGTCATAGGAGGAACAGGGGAAATGTTTGGCTCTGTCAGCACAAATCCAATTATAAAAGATGAAAACATTATATACACTGCTTAGAAAAATGAAAACATAAACTAGATATACTTCTTAAATGGAAACTATAAAATATAAACTTTATCTTGAATCTTTAAAAAAAATTTTGTTTCTTAACACGTTTATGTTAACCATTCTTCTATTACTGAAGAACTTTTTATAAAGAAACCTAATAGGTTTAAAATATATAAAAGGATGTGGAGTTCTACACAGTCTTGAGCAGCAATAAATTAATTTAGGAATCTAATTCCTATAAAAAATATTATTCCTAATGAATTGAGACCATCTATGAATAATATGTCCCTTCCAAACATGTCCTAAATCATTTATCTTTTGAATTTAAATATCTCTAAATGGTATTAATGCCCATAGCTCTTTTTCTGTGTTTCCAGATTTTTAGTTTATTCACTGATTCGCATCAAAAACAAATAAGAAGTTTTCATCTGAGCATCTGATTTCTTTTTTCTTTCATAAATCCTAACTATGCCCAGACTTCAGAAAAGTAAATTAAAAAAGGAATTTGCATTCTACTTCCAGACAGGTAAAGATTATCAACAGATAAAAAGCAAAAATATTGTATTTTAGTCACAAAAATTATGAAATAGAAGTTAAACTAAAGTTGTGCTTCCATCTAAGAGATGGCTTTTTCATAAAAATTGGGATATAAAAATATATCCAAATAATATTATAAGAAAACTCCGGTGTTAGTGCAGAGTGGTTTTAAATTATGCTTGAATGCTAAGAAAACATGCTTCTCTGTACATCACCGTAGCAGCACAGGAAATAGTAATGTTGAAGTTTGCTAGCCTTGGGCCTTTATTTTTAATGTTATCCTAACAGACTTTGAAGTCCTTGGTCTCTATAAAGTATAAAGTCCATGAAAAGTGTCATGGGGCCAGTTGACATCTCCAGGATTATAAAGTAAGAATAAAATTAAAGCTCTTCAGTGAGACCAAGACAAAAGGGCTTACATAAGTTCTTCACATTTCCCACGTATTTTATTCATTACAAAGAACAGTGAAATCAGACCTTTTCTGTGCTAATACCATCCTGTAAAAATGAGTAAACACGAAAGGAACTGAACTATTTTTATTTATTTATTTTTTATTTATTTTATTTTTAGCACTGGACCATTTAACCTCATGTTGAATAATATGCAAGTTTGACACAACTAAAATCCATTTGCTAAAATGAGCAGGTTTTGGGTAGGTGAAAAAACTAAAACAAGTCCTGGGAAATATTACACCAAATAGAAACCAATGCATCATGGCTATTTATATTAGGTGAGGTAGCTTAAAAATTCATTTATAGAGATTTCTATATTCATATTTTTCTTTCTGCAATGTCATTTTGGTCTTTATTTTTGGACACATAGCATGTTTTAATAAATCAGTTTTACATGTGTAACTTTTTATAACATCAAAATAAACAAAATATACTTTTCATAAATTCCTCATCACTGTGAATTTACTTTCAAATAAATGTAAGTAGCAGGTGGAACAATGTGTTTCTATATACGAACCAGTGCAACACTGACAGTCACAATTAAGGTATCCAGGAAGCTTGAAAATTAAGACTTATGTAAGGCAAATAAATCTGCCATGAGTCCTACACCACCTGTGTCCAGACCTCCCAAGATTTCTATCTTTTTTAAAAAAATCATTGGTATATATCAAACAGGGACATGCTTTCAGTGCACCAAGAAGATAATGGCACAGAAACAGATCTGTTTTTGCTTGTTGTTCGTTTGTTGTTTGCTATTGAAAAAATATTACAAGCTGGTAGTAGTTGAATAAATGAATAAGGATCAGCCTCTTCAGCTCTACAGGTAGAAAATGCAGTCACAATCCTCAGAAATAACCTGTTTGAATTTCAAGGGAAAGTAATACACTTCATGTGGTTATCATGACTGTGTCAGAATGAATTAAAAGCAGGGATAGATTAAACCCTTTAGAGATGATCCACATCTGTGGTAAGATGTGGATATATTTAGAGGCACAGACCACAGAATAAACAAAAATCCCTACTTGATGGGAAAACATGAATGTCAACTTGATGAAAGTTTTTTTGTTTATTTTCTTTTTTTGTTTTGTTTTTTCTTGAAACAGGGTCTTGCTCTATTGCCCAGAATGGAGTTCAGTGGCATGATCAGGATTCACTGCAGCCTCAACCTCCTGGACTCAAGTGATTCTCCCACCTCAGCCTCCTGAGTCGCTAGGATTACAGGCAAGCACCACCATGTGTGGTAATTTTTGTATTTGTGAGTGTGTGTATGTGTGTGTGTGGAGATGGGGTCTCACTATGTTACCCAGGCTAATTCTATGCTTTTGATAAGCAAGAAACATATTTTTGTGACCAATGCAAAGATATAATTCCCTCAAAAATATTAGATACTGAGTTGAACAATGATTACATATACATATTAATGAGAAGCCATTTGTAATTTTGAGTTTTATGGTCATGTGCTAGATGATAAGGGAACATTCACTGGAATATTCTAACTAGACATATTACAGCCTTTTGCAATTCCACCCAGGCATGTTGCAGCTAAGTAATCCAGAGTAATTATAGGAAGGAACTGGGTTAGTTATGACTTCCTGCAGAAGAGAATTAGGCAAAAATTCAAGCCCTGTGCATTATTATGTCTAGTTATGGAAATGGTGGTATGTGGTAGATGGAATATGAATGTCATAGAAACTGCAGATGAAGAGGAAGAGGTGGAGAGAAATGGAAATGGTGGGTGAATGTATTGTGGAATAATAGAAGAGAGTTAAAGTTAAGGAAATAGGATGCAATGTAGCAGTGGGAGGTTTTAAGTTAAGACATCAAAAATAGCAGTTTAGTGTAATATTTCTGATTATCTTGGTTTTTGTGTTGGCCATTAGAACTCTTTCTTATATATCTACTGAAGACTGGTCAGAGCTAAACTCGCAAGAATGCTAAATCTTGCTAATAGTTCTTCATGGGATTGTTCATGTGCAGAGCCCAAAGGGCTTCCTTGTGTTGGTCAGCTGAATATACAGTCACTGGGAGAGTTGCAGCACTGGGGTGGGGCTGAGAGTGATGTATCAGTTACCATTAGATTTGCAATCCCTGGTATGCTCTCTAAATCCCAAAGGTGTTTTCTCATTTGGCTTCAAAAACTGATCTAAATGAATATGAGACTACTTATGGCCTTTATTTATTTGACCTAAATGACCACTTACAGACTTTGCAGAAAGGTTAATGTGTTTGGCTATAGGTGATGTGACAGACTCAATTGGCGGTATTATAAAACACACAGTATATGTGCTACATTACTTTTAAAAAATCTGAAAACATGAATTCTGAAACAACTGGTGCCAAGAGTTCTAGAAAGAGGCTTGCAGATGTGTACTACTTTACTGTAACATGGACAAGGCTTTTCTCTTTATCATGGGTGGGTCTTTGTATGATTTAGGAAAAGGTTTGTCTCTCAGATGAGAAATGGCTGCTGAGAGCAGGTAGTTTAGGAATGTACATACATAGCTATTTCTTACTTTTCTGTATTCAACCATAAGATAGTCAACATGGACCTAAGAAAATGCCTACGGCAGGGGCCATCCTTCTCAAAGTGTAAGGCCAAAATGGAGGAAGTGTGTGATGAGAAAACTATATTTTAGAAAAGCAGAACCTGAACGAAAGGATGAAGATCACATCTAATTAGCAAGGACCGTTGTTTTCCTTTGATTTAAAATTCAAGGTGGCAACTTTCCTTTACATAATTTGGTTCTTGAGGCAGATGAAAACTTTATATTCTTAAATTGTAAAACAATTTTCAGAAACCTTAAAATGCTTTGTGGAAATGAACACATTTTAGAAATTGAAGAAAAGTTTATAAACTTATTCCCAAAAAGGTTTGGGATGAATTACAGTAAAACCCTATAGAGAGATAATCAAGAACTAGGAAGTAAAGGTTGAAGAAGAAATAGATCAAGAATTCCTAGATCAGGAAAGCCAGAGTAAAAACACACACTCTGAGCTTCCCAGCAACCAAAGAAATTAGGCAAACATGTTACTTCTCTCATTTTATGTATCTAGGAACAGGAGGAACACTTCTAGTTAAAAGAAAAGAAGGAAAGAAAAGAAAAGCTTTGGGTGGTAAGGTAATTCTAGGATGTACGTCATTACACTGACTTTCAATAGCAGATTTATTCATACAGAATTATTCATCATATGAATATTCTGTAACGAATTACTAAGTATCCACCTTTATTGAACTACTTAAATGAGAAAAAAGTTGCAGAATATCACTAAAGTGAAGAAAATTCAGGACCGTTGGATTAATGAACATTCACCATTGAACTCTACTTCTTAAGGGCAAGGGCAATCTTTTCAAATGCATACCCCCACTTTCAAGCATCCAGCACAAAAAGTGATAGATAAACGTTTGCTGATTGAATGTTTGAGCAGGGTTTAGAGGTTAATGCGAAGATATTTCTTCAGAGAGATGAGCAGTTTTTTTTTTTAAGTGAGTGTTTTAGTGTTGAAGAAGAGCTGCAAGGCTATTTTTAACCTACTTATTCAGTTAGCACGGCAGGCAGTTGTAGACAGTGGAGAATGATGTGTCCAGTCACACAAGACATTTTAAGACCTATGAGTCTTCCCCCAACACAATGTTATAAAATGTCCTTTTTCTAAAAATACTGGAATCAAGTAATTATCTACTTTTGAATTTTAATGAATAGGCCATCTGTTCATTCAAATTGAAAAAATGAAATTTTTCTACAAATTAACTACTTGATGAGGTGTCCCTTGTGACTAAATCTGCTTCACTGTTCGTTGTTGTTGTTGTTGTTATATTTAACCTAAAGCTGATATGTGGCATATTATACCAAGTTTTGTAAACTAAAGTATGGAAAAATGGTTTCCTTGATAATGTAATAATTGTAGTTTTGATAGGCTATATTTATAATGATCAAAGGCTAACTTTTATTAACATAATTTCCACAAACACTTTATTAAAATGAGTAACTAGGAACACAAAGATGTCCATTTTCACCTGTGATGATTACGATAAAGCTTTAAATTAGAAACATACTCTGTTTTATGAATTATTATTATAATGATGAACAACAATTGGTTTCCATCTCCTCATTTTCAGTTCCAAGAACACTTTGTTTCCTTTATGTTGTGCTCTCCTATATGGTAGTCAGTTGCCACATGGGGCTATTTAAATGTGAATTAATTAAAAATAAATAAAATGAAAAATTCATCTCACTTGCACTAACCACATATCAAGTGCTCAAATGTTACATGTGGCTAGTGGCGACAGCACTAGTGTAGAACATTTCCATTCTTCCAGAAAGCTCTGCTGAACAGCACTGTAACATCCCTCTTACTCTCTAACCATTGTCCCTGTGAAGAATCATTCCTTATTTCAACAATGAAGACTATTTTTTTAACCCAGTCCCAAGATTCCGCCCGCTCAGTTCTTCAAAATATCATACCTTTCTCAATTAGTTGACTTATGTAATATCTCCATTAGTTTTGAAGTTCTTTGGGGTGGAAAAAGGCAAACTTTGTATTTTGTTTTGTGAAACAAAAACAAAATTGCTGTTACTCTACAAATAATGCATTATAGAAGCATGACTTTGGGAGAAAATACACTTCATGCCTACCAGCAGCTGAAGCTTTCAGCCTAATTAAAAATGAAATTACTATTACAATCAGAAATTATATCTAAGATATCAAATTGGTATGCCTGACATTACAGTTGCAGAAAGTATTCAAGATGCTGCCTTTTAGAAATGAGCTTGCTTTGTCTTCTTTTACCATCCTAAGATAAAGGCAGATTCTTTATATATTGTAGTCTCATTGAACTTGGACTGAACCACTTCATTTGAACTTACTTGATTGTAGCTTTAAATCTGTATACCCGTTCCATATGGAATTTCATCTAGAAGATGGAACTGGTTAGGGAGGCAACACATATTTCAGTTTTTTCTTCAAGTTCTGACCTTTGCCTTAGGCCGTGGCTATCATTTCATTCTCCATTCCTCCACCTCCAACACACAAACACTGCAGCAGCCTCTGCCTCCTGCAAAATGATGAGGTGCAATTCTCTGTTGGCTTTTCTTTCCAGAGTCCTCCATGCAAATGCCCTCACTGTTTCCCAGACCCTGCCCATTTCAAGGCCTTTTTTCATACTAGATATTTCTAGTTACTGTAATATACAGCTGGTATAATAATTACACTTCCTTGATAATATTGCCATATTTTTTTTCCTGTACTCTCTTTTTTCCTCCTCTGATCATGGTTCTTTATGTAAGAAAGCATTTTTTTTCCCCTAAAGACACTTTGTGTTCACCTAAGAAAACAGTGTTTTTCTAGAAGGCAATGAGCGCATTATGTCTATTTTCAGATAAAATTCGAGTCACTTCTTTGCAAGAGATGAATGTATTTTTATTAATTTACAGAAGATGGGTTGCTTTATTGTTGATTTAACAAGACTTCAAGATGTGCAACAGTTATCAAGTGTTCTTCTCCAGGCACACTACAGATTTGTAAGTACTGATGTCTGTTACCCAGGCCAGGTTATGTAAACCAGGATTTCTACAGGGTGGGATACTGACTTCTGTAGCTCTTAAAGTTCCCCAAATTATGTCCACTTGCTGACAAGCTTAGGTTTGAAGACCACTATAACCTATGTAATATCTGACAAAACAGAGTAACCTCATAAAACAATAAAGTCCACATTTGTGGATCAGGAGTGAGGGCTGAAGGGAAAGCTTCTATTTTGAAGAAAAAAACAAGTTTACTTTCCCTGAAATTATCTTTATCAGAGAAGTCATGGAAGCTATTAGAGTTGATACATTCTGCCTGAAGAAAAAAACAATAGAAAAAATTCATGAATACAGCCAATAAGAATTTAAATTAATGTAATTATTAATGCACGCCTTCAGATGACTAACAGTCTTTAAAACTTTTTTACAGAGGTTGGCAAATCTTTTCTGTAAAGGGCCAGAGAGTAAATATTTTAAAGTTTTGCAGGCCATATGGTATCTGCTACAGCTACTCAACTCTGCCACTGTATTGTGAAAGCAGCAATAGACAACATATAAATATGTAAGCATGGCTATATTCTAATAAAATTTTATTTACAAAAATAGGCTGAGAGCCAGATTTGGCCTGCAGACTGTACTTTGCCAACCCCAGCATTAAGGAATATGGTAGGGTATTCCTTTAAAACTATCACAATAAGCTGTATTCGCTAAAGATCCCATAACAATATATCTCATGCTGCATGCTCTTAAACAATGTCCCCTTCAAGAGGTACTTCTCAACATCCTTAAATCTGCTCAGGCACTACAACGGCTTTGACCAATAGAATACAATGGAAATGGTGCTGGCCTGGCAGCTTCTGCTTTCTGTCTAAGTATCCAGGTAACTCTATGCCTAGTTGCCATCTGACTGAAACCACAGGAAAGATCCCACACAAGAAACACCCGAATCCAGGTAACCCACAGAACTGTTAGAGATAATGACTTGTTCTAGGCCACTAAGAGGTTGGCTATGCTACAGCATAAAGAGAAATTTTTGGTTTTGGTTGTGGACCAATGACACTTTTTCTATTAAAGTAAATGCTTTTAGTTGAATAGAAGTTTGTCAATAAATGAAGACATGCTTTTTCACTCCCCTCAATTAGTGAAAGGAATGTATTTTTTCTAAAATTCATAGATTAGCCTCATTTATTTTAATCCACATGTCTAGGCCACCTATAAGTACAATGACTATACTGAGTAAATCCATTAAAAATGTATCTTCAGATTATACACTCTTCTTCACTCATCTTAACTGTCATTGATAAATTCAGTCACATTTGTTGTATAAGAACAGAGATATGCTGAAAAATTGTCATTTATGTTGTAGCCATATCTGAATCTATTACAAATGAGGGAGGTAGGATAGAGTCACTAAAAAACTATTATAGTACTAATTTTGAAACAGAACTGCCATCATAAATTAGCTAAATGATTAAATTAGACAAATTCTAAATAGAATTTGATTTGCTTTAAAAAAATTAAAACCAAAATTTTGAGTAAGTTAGTATTAAAAATATTTAATGTTTTAGAATTGACAAAGATACAGCACTTAAATAAGAATTGTTTCAAAAACTGGAACTTCCAGGAAAAGTTTGATTTTAGACAAGGTGCTCCAACTTTAAGTGATTGATTAGTGAATACTTTCTATTTCACAATAATCACAAAATGTAAAAAGTGAACTTTAGTGAGCAAATATGCAGGGTTTTTTTTTTCCTGGTAAAAAGTGACAAAAAAGTAAAACTTCCCACATTTTTGCTATAAATAACTCCGGATAACTTAAACTTGGAAGAATATTAAAGTTAGAAAACTAACTTCAAATGCACTTCTATGAATTCAGTAAAGGGACAGATGCCGAAATGTGAAAGAAATAGCTTAGAGGCAAGAATCAGAATTCTGAGTATGTAAAGTGAAAAAGAAGAAACTATGAGAGGCAAAATAATACATTTTGGCTGAAGACAGATGAGAGTGGTGTAATATGACTCAGGAGAACAATTCCTTTAGAGTCATCAAATTTAGAGTTGAAATAGACACTCAAGGTTATAATGATCAATGCTTAATTTTATAAATGAGCAAAATTGATTCTTAGAAGTTCAATAACTTGGTAGGATAAAAGAGAACAAAATTTCTGGTAGAACAGAACCAGAACTAAAACTCAGGTCTCCGTTCTCAACTTCTGTGTGGATTCTAGCCACTCCACCTAGAAGAATGAGGATCAGTGCACAGGAGGGCAAAGTCACTCCCACCTCTCCATGGTGGACTAAGCATCTGCCTTGCCATCAGGGCAGCCAGTGAAAAATGAGAATATAAGCATTCAGGACTTGATGCTAGGGGAGGAATGTCAATAGAATTTTGAAACAAGTATCATATAAAAAGTGTGGCTAAAAATAAAGGTGCAAATTGATTAAGAAAAAGGAAGTTACAAAATGGAAAAAAGTTTTAGATTAGCTGACAATGACATTCTCTTCTTCCATGCTTTAGTTTCTCTTTGATAAGTTCACAATACACCTATCAGAGAGAACAAGAGCAAAACTGACTAAACATAAAATTGAGATGGTCTAAGTAAGAATAAAAAACTGGCTCTTAGGCCTTCAGTGTTAAGTTGATACTTTTTTTTCAATAAACTGCCCATCATGGTCACCATCCAACACCAAAATAGAACATACAAGTGAAAGTGCACTTACAGAGGTTGAGAGTTTGGAAGGACCCAGGCACTCAAGGATAAAGTTACAAAGAATTACTATTAGAACCAATGTTGGCTTTCATTTGTCCCATGTTTATCTCTTTTAAACTTCAAAAGATTTTAATGTTTAAAGTCCACATTTATTGTACCCATTCTTTTCCTGATTTTATAGGCTTCAACATATCCTCTTATTGGTTCCATTCATTTCAAATAAAGATAAGAAAATTGTTTACATGAAATTTTTGCCTTCTTGGCTGTTTTAGTTGCTCTCTCGTAACTTCTTTAAGCACCCTCTACCTTTCCTGGAGAAGTTTCTCCACAAAGATTTTTTAAGCAGAAAAATGCAATAGCATTTCACCATGGCGGAAGCATTGGATTGACAAACACGATGATGATTTGACCTTCTGGCTTGTAGCAACACCCTACACTAAAGTTACCATGACAGAATTTATAATGATCACAAACTCTAGTTCAGATGTTGAAATCAGTTGCAGGGTGTATATACCATAATTGAATTTTGATATATTTCCTTCAAAATATGTTGCTTTATGCATGCTAATATTGAAGTAGATCTGACACTGTATCTGCTCATGTAGTCTCTTGAAATCTTTATGTAGTTTTTCCCTAATTTTAATAGTTCCCAAGACAAAAGAATTGTGATTTTTAAATTTTTCGATCTGAAAAAATTCTAGTGTTAAAATTTTTCCAAAGATATAATTACAAATGCTCTTCGAGAATGTAACCCTATCATAAGTCCAGGGATGTACTGAATGTGCATCTCTTCTGCACAATTGTAAAGTTGAAAAATTGTAAGTCAAGCCATTGTAAGTTTGGGACTGTCTGTACTTATACTATACCCAGATAAAGGTATATATTTTTTATAGGATTTTACTTAAAAAAAAAATCAAACTGCACTATTTGGAGATAAGACACAGCATGAAAGATTGAACGGAGTATCATACTCAACGTCAAAAGAACTTTATTTTTGTCCTGACTCAGTAACTAAGAAGCTGACTGTACAAGCCATTTAATTTTCCGTGGCTTCAGCATTCATCTGCACATATATCCTGGGTAGTTTCAAGTTCAATTTTATGATTACATGATTCTTAAATATTTACTTTAAAAGAAAATTTTAAAATTGTTGTGGAACTCAAATCTACTTTGCAGTATTTCATTTTTAAAGGAACAAAGAATTCTTCAAGTTCAACAAAAGCTCTTGTGTTAAAAATTTATGGGGCCATAAAAAGCTAGCATCTAACTCATCCTTAGACACTTATTTTTCCACCATTCAATCTTAGTACCTTGACATGTCACTTACACAGATAAACACAAACAGTTCAGAATGGCATCTGGGTTCTTCAAAATCTCAGAGAACATCCTGCCCTTGAGGGCCTCGAAGAAGCTGCTAGTGGATATTCATATTTGCAAGGTCAAAATTTTAGGGTGTTCTTTGCTTAGTGGAATTTACATCTTTAAAACGTTAGTAATGCTACTTCTATACTTTTTGACTGTACTTGAAAATCCACCGATATTTCTACTGTTAAAGTATAATACCAAGCTGAGGTTTTTAGGTGGGAAAGGAGTTTTCCATTTGCTGCAGAAGACTGTAGGAAGATAGAAATGCCAACAGTGCAAAAGTAGGAATGCCAGAGAGGGGTGAGAAGCTAAGATCTATCTTGTATTGGTTAAGTAGTAGTAAAAAGTAATGGCTGGAATCTACAGTGAGGCAGAGTTTAAGATAAATAAGTACTTGTTCACATCTTTTATTTCATTTTATCCTTGCAACACACCCAAAGTACACAGTTTAGAAATAATTATCCAAATCTGATGAAGACATTAAGCCATAGTCTAATTGTACCTACTATATGACTAATTGTAAGACATGCGTATCCAGTGAAGGAACTGTAATCCTTCTCTTCCAGCTTCTACAAAATCACTCTACCACACTGAAGGTCAAAGTCATGACATGTTCGTAAGGGGGGGCGAAACATTCTCTGCAACTACCTATTTGACTAAAAACATTGATTTCCTATCTAATATATTTCAAAATTCAGATCTGAAACTACCAGTTGGATTGGTTTCTCTTTTTTTTTAAAAAAAAAAATCCCAATTAGTTGTTGGTTCCAGGTGGTTTTTAGCTCTTTTGATTAATCAGATTTGTCCTTTACTGCAATCTGGATATTTCCCCAGAGTAAATAAAGTCCACCATGTAATCTGTAAAACTGTTCATTTATAAATGTACAATTTGCAGCTCCACATGTATAATACATCTGGTGATTGTAACAATGTAGGCCTTTAGAATTCCAAAACAAAAGGTAGCTGCTGAAGGACAGACCCTTCATTGGCCAGTAAAATGAACTTGAATCAGATAACAAGTAAGTGTAAGCTGTAGAACTAAGTACTGAGCAAAAATGCCTCTGCCAGGTGATCAAAGTCAGTATCACCAGTGATAAATCATCATTGATAGTATGTAACCTTGACATGATATGATTAAGATGGTACTCTACCTCTGTGGTCTCTCTTCAAAAATAATATAACCCTGGTTTCATCATGAGAAAAGGAGACAAATTTTAACTGAAGAACCTTCTGTAAAATATCTAACCAGTACTTCTCAATACTGTCAAGGTCATCAAAAACAAGACTGAGAAACTGTCATACCTAAGAAGAGCCTAAGGATATATGATCACTAAACATCATAAAGTTCTATCTTCAATGAGAATCTGGAATACAAAAAAGACATTAGTTAAAAACTAATAAAATATGAATGAAGAATTGGCTGTAGTTAATGATAATGTATCAATATTGGTTTGTTAATTATAAAAAATTACCATAATGTAAGGTATTTATTACAGGGGAAACTGATTGTGGGTATATGGGAATTCCGTAATTCTTCACATTTTTTTTTTGGTAAGTCTAAAACCATTCCAAAAGATAACTTTTAAGAAAACAGTATTATTTGCATCCAGTGCTTTCCAAACATTAATGCATATGCAAATCAGATGGGATTCCTGTTAAATTCAAATTCTCATTGTAGTAGGTCTAAAATAGAACCTAAGAGTCTATATTTCTAATAAGCTGTCAAGGAGGCCAATACTGTTGGCTCAAGAACCATAGTTTCAGCAGCAATGTTTTTAATCTAGAGCAAGATTTCTTAGCCTTTGAACAGTTAACATTTTGGGTTAGACAATTCCATTGTAGGGACTGTCTTGTCTTGTAAATTATGGAATACTTAGCAGCATCTCTGGCTCTGCCTACTAGATCACATTAGCACCCCTCTCTCCCAGTTGTAACAATCAAAAATGTCATCAGACACTGCAAAATGTTTCCTGTGAAGAGGCAGGTCACCTCTGTTTAAGAACCACTGATTTAGAACATTCATTAAAATATGGCTTTGGGTTGACTACTTTGGAAAAAAAACTCTTTATTCATTTACTTACCATATTTAAATGCTTAGTATGTTTTGGGCTTCCCGAAAGATAATTGTAATTATTCTATTAAATTTAGTTGCTAGAAATTATCTACTCACTATCATCATGGAACACAATTTAAAATACATGTTTTCTATCTTCCAGGAATTTACCATTAAGCAAGTGTGTGATGTACGTAAAATATGTGGAAAGATAGGGACCTACACCATAAATACTGGCCATTAGATAAAGCATTTACACTCAAAGGCGAAGGTAAGACTGGATGTCACAAATTTAATATATTTGTATAGCATTGGTCAACTTAAAGATGTTTGCCCGTGTGTATATCTCATTTGAGCCTGGTTAATGACCCTTGGAAAAGAGATATTAGCCAAGCTCAGGAAATAGGCTCAGAATAGTCTAGTTCCTTACATGAAAGAAAATTTATTTTCTCTATGAGAATAAATAAAAGGTAGGAGAAAGAGCAGATCTAGGTGTTTCAAATTCTAAGTTCTCATCACACTACTACATTAATTTAATCCATGGGAAAAATTATCTCTCCTAGTTAGACTTCAAGGGGAAAGATAAGACCTCATACAAACACAATTCAAGCAATCGGGTTGGCTAACAAGGACGCCACAAGATAGAATGTGACTAACAAACCAGCTTACTGGCAAAGAGATGAAAGGCAATTATGGCACAGTCTAAAGCACATGGACCAGGGGTGACAAGGCCTGGCTACCAATTCCATGTCGCATAACTCTGACTGGGGCAACCTCTGGCAAGTCAATTAGCTACTGCGGACAGTTCATTATTTTATTCTCATTTGAGTAATAGGGATAAGAGAATTTAGCTTACAGGTCTCTAGTGATGATTGAATAGTCTATGCAGAAGTAAGTTGAGTGGCCACTATGTGCAGGCAAAGAAGTTTACAACCATTGCTTAATCTCATCTAAGTACAGTCTAAAATTGAGATTCCAGCAAGCCAAATTAAACATTTTGAGACTTCACGGTAATATGTGTTCATATCCAGAATGTGACAGCGATATTACATCCAATTACTAAGGCTGCCTTGAGATTAGTGTGCTCTCAGTCCCTCTGTTCCCTTTTAAGAACTCATTAGGAGCCATTTTTCAGTGTGACAGGCAAAGTTAAAGTCAACTTGAAATGTCTTGCTTATGCTCAATGGATGTTAGTCACACCCTTCTCAAGGCACCTTGGGAAGGAGGAAGAATCAATGAGCTGCCATTAATTTAGCTCACCCAGGACATACTTTTAAAGGCATGTTGATGACGAGAAAAAACTGCAGCATCAGTTGGTAGACAAGAGAATACAAAAGTGTAATTGGGAGACGTCTATGTCTGCTAAAACACAAACACACGCACACTAACAACACAAAATCCCTGCCTTTATCCTTACGCTTGCCCTTTCACAGGTAGATAGTACCACTGATCAACGACAGCAGAGCAATAATTACTTTGGACTTGCCATATGTCAGGAACTATGCTAAAAAAAAAAAAAAACAACTTACAGATAGAAACTCTAACCCTTCCCAGCACCCTGTAAGGGCATCATTGCCTTTGTTTTACAGATAAATCATGACTAGAAAGGTTACAGTACTTGTTGAAAGTCACATGTAGTTGGCAAGTCAGATTAAACCTTATTATATTTTAGCATCTGTTCCCTTTTCTCCTGGAGTCTGTTATTGTGTTTAAAGGTTATCTTTGCCCCATCAACCAAGATCCTAAGAATAAAATCTCAAGAAAATATCCTAGGAATGAAAACAGTATCTGCATAACATACTCGGGACCAAGAAGAGAGAAAGCAAGCTCAGACACTCAAATAAGTACTCACAGCCCACTTTCAATGATCCTTTGGCACTTGGCACCTAATCTACCATAGCACATATCACACTGCAATGAAATTACCTGTTGATGTGCCTGGAATTCCCATTCCACCTCATGCTCATGAGTTTAACTTGCTCACCACACTATTCCCACCTCCCAGCACAGCATCCAGTACAGTCAGTCATGATGGATAAATGAATGGAGTAAGTAAGCATAAATATAGTTTCCAGTGTACTTTGAACCAGTCCAAGAAAGGTAGACATTTCAAACAAAAGAGGCCAAGTATAATAAATCAAAACAATGTAATTGCACATAAAGTCCATGGGGCAAGAAGTGAAAAATACAAGCAAGAGCCAGGCCAATGGCATCCTCCAATGTTTTGCCATATATATATATATGTCATATGACATATATATATATATATATGTCAGTAATGTCCCTTGGTGTCCCTGGGTGTAGGCAAGTGCAAGTCAAGGCCAGGAGTTCACACCTGTGGTTAAGCCCTATTGAAGTTCAGGAAATGCAAACTGAGGCCAATATTGTCTTAAAGCCATGAAACACTACTTATAAAGATCAATCCGTTATAAAACAAACAAACAAACAAGCAAACACATAATGCCATTACAAGCCAAAAATGTTTATCAATTTGTCATGCCAGAGCTGCCAACCACTGTGCAACTTAATAGGATCTGGGCTACATAAGGTACATTTCATACCAAACTCCTCCCTAGTCATTATCATGAAAGTATCTACAATTCCTGCCTTTTATAAATAGAGTTGTAGTGCAAATCCTTCAAATAACTAACTGGAAAAGAAAGAGAAATTTTTTTATGGTGATTAAAATGTTCTTCGGCACACACAAAGTAGAAATATTACAATTTCATGCTGAAATATCTTACAACAGTCTGTTTGCTTTGTTGTATATAACTTCATTTTTATTACATGTAAGGAAATAAGAAATGAAGACATTAATATTTAAAGTGAGATCCATTTAGCACATTCTTAGTCTGCTCACACAGGTAAGAGACATTTCCCCATCTGAAAGGATGTTTCACAAAAACAACCATCAGAAAATTAGAATCTGTGAAGAGTTTCTATTTCCACTTCACATACATGGAAACCATAAATCTGAACATCCCATAATTCCTAAAAATCAGATGAGGAAGATAAAGAGAAATGAAAATACCGTATGCACTGATCTTACGTTTTAAACAGCTGATTGTCCTCAAGCTTGTTTAGCATTCATTCTATGGAGATATTTCCACCTAAGTGCTAAATTTCAGTCTCATAAAGAAGAGCCACAGGATTAAAAATTGCCTTGCTTTCTGGGCAGGTGTTTCAGCTGCCACTGAAATTTATCCCAGGGTAGCTGCTATATTCATTTAAAATGCATGTTTTGGCTGACTGATCCTTAACCTGGAACAATTTCCACTCTCTACTGACTGGCAGCTGATACCTTTATCAATGCCAGAAAAATGCCATTTTCTTAAGGTGCAGTTTGCCCCCTTTCAATCGCTACTTCGTCTTTTGGCTTTACTGTGAACATGATGAACTGGCAGATACAGTAACTGATGGCAGCAGACTAGACTGGGCAGCAGAGAGATTAAAGGTTGCTTGCAGCCTGTGATACGGATTTGAAGGCGCACTGCCTTGGGGTTAAGTAACCCAAAAACACACTCTGCTATGGCTGTGAATTTCAGCAGCCAGGCACCAGCTGCAAAACTTGCTAGCATTGTTTAAAGAGGTACACCTGCTCTGAATGACAGTTGCAATGCACTGGGGAAAAGCATTCTGGACTTGGTGTCAGAAAACCAGGCTTTGAGTTACAGCTCAGCCAGGTAATGGCAGGGGCACCTAGGAAAGTCCCTTAAATTTGAACTCAGTTTTCTTACCTATAAAGTAAAGGTTTTAATACCTGTTTTGAAGTGCATGATGATGGAGAGAAATGATGGATGAGACTTCCAAATGATAAAGCAATATAGAGACTAAGTATGGTTAATACCATCAGTCTATTATGAGAGATTTATGTATTAGACTGTTAGGCATTGTGTCTGCATATTCTGTTCCAAGTTATATACTAAATGTTATTAATTTAAAACATTGTTTTATTTATAGCTCCCACACAATTGTCACTAGGATTAAGTCTACATTCACATAGTTCTATGTGAACACATAATATGCTCACCACCCACACGGTGGGACGTGTAGATCACTAAAAGGCCCCTATTGCTGGTGTCTAGTATTTTACAAAATCGGTCCTTCGGATTGAGTCATTATTTAAAAGCCAAAGGCCTGGCAGGGGAACACTGTGATTTTCATCATTCATTATTCCTTTCATGTGGTTTTATTTCCCAGATTCTCGTATTGAATGCCAGCCATATATTGGACTTTCCATCTGTGATCTTTAATCATTACAACCAAATCCTTTTATATAGGAGAATCCCAAGGCTCCAAGAGGGTACTAGAAGCACCCAAGCTACAACATGGGGCAACCAGGATGCACAGCATGTTTCATCTGATTTTAAAGCTCATACTCTTTTCTTCTACGTGAAGAGTCTCATTTCTTAACCCTCTTAATAAGTTTAACCAGTCTACTCAATCATAGTATCCATTAAGCAACACATTCCCATTTATTTTACCCTGTTCTCAGATTAATAGAAAAAAAATTGTGGCTCTAGAACCAGGGATCCATCTAATTTCAGACTCCCTCCCCAACCATTTTAATAACTTTTTTCTATGTAGCTCTTTTTCAGAAGACATGCATCAAGAATCCACTGCGTGCTATGTTCTCTTAGCTCATAATGTCCCAAGATTCACTTGGCTATTTTTATTTTTAGAAAATGTCCATACTGTAAAGAGGAGGATTTATCTTCTTCATGCCTCAACATCTGTCTTAAGCTGTACAGTCTATTTTCTGAGGTGGTGGTTATTCTATCTATTCAGACCTAGAAAGAGTGGTCATGCTCCCAGCAAGATATTGTGCATCCTTTGATAAATGTGATGAAGGGACGTAGTTAAAACATCCAGTGGAGGAGAAAGAAGTTAGAAATAGGGGAAGTAGACCTAGAAGATGTGATGACACAAGTGTAAAGAACAATCTGTATGTTTGCTGGGTACAACCCTCATTGTCTTAAATGAGTGTTAGAAATATAGACGTAAAACTATAAGCAGACACCCTAAGGTACAAATGACTTGAGCTCTGCCCCTGGTAGACCTTTTCTTCCCCAGCCATTTTCCAGCGACTATTGCCACTTGGGTGATCTGCTGCATTTGTCAGTACCAGGCAGTATTCTTTGAAATTCATTAGGAATTCACAAGGCACATTTCATTCATCTGTTTAAACATCTGTTGGACTATGCCGCTCAACTTTTTTGTGTGCTTTAACTCCCTAAGCTTTCACTCTAAAATCTCTGAAGTTGTGTTTTTTGTTTTTTTTATTTGTTGGTTTTACAAATACCTGAAAGTAGAATTTATGCCCTTGTCTAAAAATAAAACATGAGAGATGGTAACATCTGAAAACTTAAACTAGTTATGGTTATTTTATATAATTATTTTATGAAAATGAATTGCATGTATAATGTACACAAGCAAATAAGAGGGATATTAATACATTTCAGTCTCACATTAGTCTGAGCAATAAAAAATTATCAGTTTAAAAACTCTTTCAATAAGTATATAAAGACTAATGATAAAGATTTGAGGTTCTTTGCTCTCCTATAAAAATCAAACCTTGATTGCGGCATACTCCATTGCTGACTATCATATTCAAGGATATGTGGTACATGTGTTTTGGTACATGTGTCAAGGCTCTATTAAATCCATTACTGGTAAAGAGTGTTTTACCTAATTTTGCTGCCAAATGTCAATGTACGTACTAGTAGTGCATGCTGTAAATGTGAAAAAGAACATATAAAAATGGCTATATTTTTCCATATGTGGTAAAAACATGTGGGCAGGCTTTTTTGCTTTGTTTTGTTTTGTTTCTTCCAGAAAAAAAGAGAAACAAACTAACAAATTATTGTTATTAAAATATACTAAAAAATAGGAAAAAGGAGCTTCTAGTTTATGCCATTTAAATTGTCCTTCTTTCTGTGTTGTCTTAGGTTCCATATTTGTTTATTGGGAAACTATTCATCAAAAGCCAATTGTATTAACTATGTTTTCTGTATTCTTGTTGCACTGGCATTTGTAGCCCCCCAACTGAGGATAGACTGCCCCTCTCAGAGCTGTCCAATTATTAAAAACAGCAAAGGCCTCAGCAGGGAACATGCCTTTCATTTGCAAACTAACCAACCCAGAGCCCACACCTTCAACTATCTTCTTAAATTCTCACCCAGCAAGCCAATATTCTTCCTGCCCTAAATCAACACAGGGCCAGGTATCAGACAACTGAGGACTGCCTCTCAGAATTATTCAAACTAGCCAATTCAAAGTCATTTGCCTTCTCCCACCTTGTCCTTCCCGTGGAAACTCCTACCCCTTCCCTGGGATCTTTTTGGCTACTTGACCAAACTGGCACATCCCCGTGTGGCCCTACATGGTGTGGTGTGCCTCTTTCTCTTGGAAAATGTAAGTGATAAATTCTTTATTCAATTACAAGGATCTCTCCATGTCATCACTTTGTCACTTCCATAAATTAAAATCCCATGGGTATAGCCATTGATACACTTTCTCTTCACTCAATGCCATTGTCCAAAGCAGTTGCATCTGACAGGGAGCAGCTCACCCTCCCTTTCTCTCTCTCTCTTTTTAACATCTTTATTTCAGTCTAATTTTACATACAATAAAATTTGCCCATTTGTACAATTTATGTTCAGTTAATTTGTAGAATTGTGCAACCACAACAATCCAGCTTAAGAACATCTCCATCACCACAGAAAAGATCTCTCATGCCCACTGCATTCAATTGCTGCTCCCATTCTCTGCCCGAGGCAACCATTGATCTGCTTTTTTGTCTAGATGTATCTGCTTTGGATATTGCCAATACATAAAATTATATAATATGTAATCTTTTTCATCTGGCTTCTTTCCCTTAGTGTAATGTTTTTGAGGTTCATCTATGTTGTAGTTCATTCATTCCTTTTCATTGTGAAATAGCACTCCATTGTATGGACATAACACGTTTTGTTTTTCCACTTACTAGTTGATAGATACCTGGATTGTTTCCAGTTTTTGCCTATTAGAAGTTGCTATAAATAGTTGTTTTCAACTTCTTATATGGACATATGTTTTTATTTCATGTAGATATTTAGGAGTGGAATTGCTGGACAGTATAGTCAGGTTCTTTATTTAAGAAACTGCAAAACTGTTTATCAAAGAGGCTATATCATTTTATATTCACAACAGTAGTAGTGTATAAGGGTTCTAGTTTCACCCACTGTCTCTAACAATTGTATTGTCCATCTTTTGTTTTTGTTTTGTTTTGTGTTTTGAGACAAGATCTCACTCTGTTACCTAGGCTGGAGTGCAGTGGTGCAATCTCAGCTCATTGCAGCCTCAACCTCCTGGGCTCAAGTAATCCTCCCACCTCTGCCTCTTGAGGAGCTGAGAACACACAGGCACACGCCACCACACCCAGTTAATTTTTTCTTTAATTTTTTGTAGAGACGAGATCTTGCTATGTTGCCCAGGCTGGTCTTGACTCCTGGGTTCAAGCAATCCTCCTGTCTCAGCCTCCAAAAGTGCTGAGATTACAGGCATGAGCCACCACGCCTGGCTTTTTTTTTTTTTTTAATTGTAGCCATTCTCATGGCTAGTTTGGCTTTCAATAATTTGTTTATGATATATGTAGCTTTGGAGGACTTTCTGTCTATTCCACTCTGAGTTTGTTAAGATACTTGAATGTGTAGATTAAAATTCTTTTATCTAATTTATGAAGTTTATAACTATTTAGTTCAAACTTTTTTTCTTACCCCTTTTCTTTCTTCTTCCTTTCTGGGACTGCTGTTGTGTGTACATTGGTATGCTCGATGGTATACTAAAGGTCTTTGAGACTCTCTTCATTTTCTTGTATATTCTTTTCTTCTTTCTGTTTTCCTTCTTCTGTTTTTTTTTTCTTCTATGCTTTTCTTCTTCTGTTTTTCAGGATAGATACTTTCTACTGATCTATGTTCTTCTCTCTGCCATCTTGAAGCTGCTCTTGAGCTGCTCTAGTGAATATTTCATTTAATTATACTTCTCAAATACAGAACTCCCATTTGTTTCTTTTGATAATTTATGTCTATATTGATATTCTCTATTTAATGAGTCATTGCTGTCATACTTTAATTCTTTAAACATGATTTCTTTTAGTTCTTTGAACAGAATCATAGCAGCTAATTTAAAGTTTCTGTCTGCAAAGTTTAACATGTGGGACCCTTAGAGTCAGTTTCTTTTTTTCTTAGTCTGGGCCACATTTTTCTTTCTTTATGTGTCTCATGAATTTTGTTTTAGTGAAAACTGGACCCTTTAGGTAATATAGTACAGCAAGTCTGGATTCCAGTTTTGTTAGTGGAGGTTGTTTACTTTGATATTTTATTGTTGGCAGTGATTTTCTAGATTAAGTCAGTGCATTCTCTCTCCCCATGAGGGTGTTTATGTCTCTGCTCAGTTTTTAAAAAATCTTATTTTTATTTTAAAATTTGGCTTCTTAGTGATTATTGCTGTGTCAGAATAGCCTAGTGGTCAACCAGTGATTGACCAGAGGTTGTGCTCAAACATGTTGAGCCAATAAGCTCTTACTTTTCCCAATGGATCTGTGTGTCAGTTAGGGAACAAAGTTCAGGCAGTTTAAATCACACTGGACCCTGTTGTGTTTCTGCACTGGAACATAGTCTCATGTCCAGCAAGGGATGTATAGATAGCTCTGTAGTCTCTTCTGACTGTGAGTGCAAATTTGCACATGTGTACAGACTTTAAGAACTATAGGGATGTATGAGCCCTCAATGCACACAATGGCTGTCTTATTCACTAGATCTCCCTGTTTAATTTTTGGTGAATCTACTGTCCTTTTGTTTGTCCCAACCAGGACCATGCTGTCAGGCTAGCTGTAGCATACTAGTCTGTTGGTTTGTCACCCAGATCACTATTGTGTCTGACAATGCACAGGGGCATGCGTTTTTTTCACTTTCTGCTCCAAACCAAACCAGTCCTCTTTAGCAACTGAGTACTGGTTTTCACAGTATGCCCTTTCCTGGTAGACTTACCACAGTGAAGTATTTGGAAATAATAAAAGAAGCCCCAGGCAAAAATGCTATAGACTCATAGTGCCCTTACCCAGGGTTCAGCCGTTTTTCTTAATAAATGTTTCTCAAATTTTTGTATGCCTATGGCCAATTTCCAGAGTAATGAAATGGTTGTTTTATCAAATATTTGGAGGGTTTTTGAAATTTATTTTTGGGTGGAGGGCTTGCCAAGCCCCTCCCTCCATCATTCTAGAAATCCCTATACTTCTTTTTCATGGCTTCATCAAGATTTAGTGAAGCCATAAATGATATTAAAATTCAACTTTCCAAGAAGCTAAACTTTGGCAAAAGAATGAGAAACAAGACCAGGGAATAAGAGTTAACTCATTGAGGCTTTTTGAGATTGCCAGGATTAGTGATATTCCTAAATTACCTCAGTTAATAGAATTTGCCACAAGTTTTCAAGACAGTAAGAATCAATGGCATCAATTTTAGCAGTTGCATAACGAGGATGCATGGAAAACAGAAAGCTATTCAGATGCGATAGAAGTTCTAGCAGTTAGAAAGCAGCTAACTCAACATCAATTCTAGACGTCATCCTCTCAAAGAAGTTCTTCATTGCCCTCTCCTTAAGGCCATGTGCCCTTAGCTTCTCTCTGTCTCTACTCTTACTGTGCTCTGTCCACCAGCTAATGGGACTTTACTCATATTTGTTCCACTCCATGGATTCCATTAACTCATGACTTTTGGTGACTCATGGCATCTTTACTATTTTCCTTTTCATGTCTAATTCTTCACCACCTGGTGTTTATGATATTCTTCATGCTGCACATCTAAGCTTTTCAGAAAAGAGGATCCAATTGAGTTTTAGAGTGCACAGCTCCTCAAAATTTAATGTGAATATTAATCACCTGAAACCTTTGGTGAAATGGAAATTTTGATTCTGGGGTGAAGCTGGAGCTTCTTGTAGGTAATACTAATGCTGCTGGTACGTGGATCACACTTTCACTAGCAGGGCTCTAGTAAGCACCTAAAAGGATGCAGCTCTTGCAACAAGGTCCCATATAGGCCACAGATCAGCCTTCAGCCTGTGGCTCTTGCCAATGAATCCCCTATCAACCAGTTGTGGCCTGAGCCACAGGGTTATATGGTACAAAGCTTGGTGACCTATGTATTAAAAGAAAACTTGGGAGGGAGTTCTATAGGTGGCAGATATTCTATATATCCTACCCAGCACACATGCCTTTTGGTGATTTTGTGCTAAATGGTTCATGTTGTCTTTGCTGATCAAGGTAAGAACTCACCTTGGAACTTTGCTAGTGTATGAGGGGCTGCTGGACAAGTCTCCACAATTTCAAAATTTCTCAAGGAAGACTTAGCATCAGCGTTTGCTCACACGGTACTGTAGAGCTGTGGGTTTTGCTTCTTTCTCTCTCATTCTGTTCATCTCTCTCCCTCCCTCTCTGCCTCTCCCTTCTTCTCTTTTTGTATCTCTCTCCCTATTTTCATGTTTTCTTTGCTTTTCCTTTGCAACTGGATTGCTGATGAAAACAATTTTAGATCCTCAAATTAATTTATTCTTGGAGCTAATAGCTGTGGGGAAATAAACAATATTTTGAAATTCATAGGACCTGACTATGCAGGCAATAGCAACATAGAAGCAAATATTCTAAGTGAGCTTTAAAAACAATCACCAACCAACCAACCAGACAAACCTTGAGATTAAGTGAGACAGGAAGAAATGAAAAGTAAGAATAACAAAGGTAAAAGAGAAATATCAAAAAAAAGAAAGTCATATGGCAGACCACCTGCTTGCCCTCTTTACTCCCCAGCCTGTTTTCTGTAAGTCCACCTTGCACAAATCACCTGTATTTTTATACGTGCTCAGAATGAGAATTTATGAAACAAAACAAAATCTACCCAGCAACAGAAGGTGACATGGATGACAAACATGCATATGAATACTTCTGTATATGTGTGTGTGTGTGTGTATAGACACACACATATATTTTTGTCTTTTGGAAATGGAAATGAATTCAGGGTATTCTGCATCTATTTTTGTCTACTTAATTGGATAGCAAGGTCTCTATATTTTCAGGTTAATTTGAGTACCTTGCATACTATTTAGTACCTATCCATTTTAGTGATATCTCTCTATCTCTAGCAATCTGTTTGTCTACATGTCTATCACCATAGTATATAATGCTCTTTTATCTTTTAATTAATTAAAGACAGTCAACGATGGGTCAAACATTGTCCTACTGCTTATAGAAAGGACTCATTCGTATTCATCTCCATTTCCCTGGTGCCTAATGCAGTGCTTGGGTACATATCTAACCCTAACCCAGTATAGGTCTGACTCCTCTAAGTCTTTTGTTTGTTTGCTTGTTTGTTTATTTATTTATTTTGAGACAGAGTCTTGCTCTGTCGCCCAGGCTGGAGTACAGTCGCATGATCTCGGCTCCCTGCAACCTCTGCCTCCCAGGTTCAAGCGACTCTCCTGCCTCAGGCTCCCTAGTAGCTGGAGTTACAGGTGGGTGCGCATCACCACATCTGGCTAATTTTTGTACTTTTTAATAGAGATAGGGTTTCACCATGTTAGCCAGGCTGGTCTCAAACTCCTGACCTCAAGTGATCCGCCCGCCTCGGCCTCCCAAAGTGCTGGGATTACAGGCATGAGCCACCGCTCCTAGCTGCCTTTTGTTCATTTATAAAACCTTTACAAGATGGTCCCTTCTCCATTATATTTTAAATGCAGATTTATCTTGAAGGTTAAAGAAAATTGAGAGCCTACGGAATTGCCATGAAAAACACATCCACCTAAAGTGTCCATTTTCTGCTGACATATGTATGGCTGGAAGACAGATGCAAATGACAGGCATTTCCTCTAAAACCTCAAATCCAGAAACACATATCCTGTCTATGTCCTGTGATCAGTAGGTATAAGGCTGGCATGTTTTCTTTGGAATCCAGAAAGCCTTTTGAACCACGCTGGGCTTGGCAGAAGCTGAAACTAGCCAAGGCCTGATTCTGATCATTTACAGCTGCTTCCCAGTCTGTTGTCATCGTACCAGACTCTAATGAACCCCAAGCCAGGCCTCCCTGCTGTGGCTTCCGAAAGGGGTGGAGGCAGCAACTCCTCTATTAAATCAGACTTCCAGTTAGTGCATGGGAATATTGTTGCTGGAGTGCTCTTATCAACTGAAAAAACTGAAGAAAATCTCTCCCACCATGTCAACTGGCTTGATTATGAGACAACATTGATCTCATTTGTATAAATGCAAAAATACAAAGTAGCAGAGCTGTATTTTTTAATAGATAGTGGTAGTTACATGAAAGACAAAACATTGATTACCGAGTTGTGTACACATTTTCTTCACAACTGGAACAATTTAATTAAGCACAATCTATTAGGGTAATGATCAGAAACATTAATAATTTGTGTTTCAGCACATTCCTTAAGAGATTACTATAAAGACTAAAATAAAATATCACATAATTTTCAGAATATGATCATGAATTTGATATATAGTTCTCAGAGTTAAACAAAATCAAATCTATGAGGTAATCTTTTCAAAATCTCAAGAAATACAGCATCTAACAAAATACCTGATACGTAGCAGGGGCCAGGACAAATGGTATATGAAGAAGGAAGGGAGAAAGGAAAGATGGGAGGAAAGGAAGGAGGGAGGGCTGTATTCTGTTCAGAAGATTTAAAGTGTAAGTAGAATATTAAAGAATCAATCAGGAAAATAATTTTAAAAATGTATATCCGCATTCCTTATGGTAATACAGAATTGAACTGTTAGAGAACAAAATAGCAGGGAAAATAATCTTTCTGGGGTATTAAAAGAGGGAATTAATTCTTGACTTCACCAGAAGGATCTATTTGCTACTGTGGCTAGTCTAATGCATCAGGAAAAAAAGCAATATGGTGTCATCTTAAAGCACCCTTGAAATATAAACACTAAGATAGATCAATTTAGAGAAACATGGGGGTCTTTCATCACCTATTAATAACAACAAATCTTAGTAGGGGTCATGTAACTGTTCCACAGTTATTCTTATTTAAATGTTTCATGGAAGATGACAAGAAGTACCTATATAGGAATATGTTGTAAACATGATCACATGGATATAATCAACGCTACCCTCCAAAGCAGTCTTGCAAGAAGACAGTTAATTTTAGGCAACAGTTCAAATCATTTTAACACAGGTACCTATTAAGATTATAACGCCATAGTTGCCTTTCCTTTTTTAAAAAAAATCTAAAAAGTTCTTGAAAGAATTTTTCTTTCAAATTACTGCTTTAGAAAATATTGGAAAGGTATCATATTTGAAAGATCTGTAATTCATAAGATAAAATTTATGAAATATATGTGGAAAAAATATAACATTAATATAGATATCCATGTATATATAAATAAAATGAATGATACTCTAGAATGGTCCAAAGAGAACTGGACTCAACTCTGGTTTAAAGATAGCTATGTGACCCCTGGATAACAGTTTGCTTTCTGGGCTTCAGATTCTTTTATGTTAAAATTAAGAGGGAGCAGAGTATGTTTTATCTTAGGTATTTTCCAACAATAAAATGCCAGAGTCTCAAATATCTGCAATTTGATATTTCAATTTAGGTACCATAATAGTCCAAAAGGCACAGAAGAGTCTTTGTATTATTTTTGGAAAGCATGGTCTCAGGACAATTGCAGCATAGGAATATTAAACATGACACAGCTCCAAATGTAGCAAACATAATATGGTAGTATAATTTAATATGATGATCATAGTTCAATTTATGCCCTATTTTTACCCTAAGTAAAACTACTATTCATTTATTTCTAAAATCTGCTTTTGGCCAACATATTTTAAATAAAAAATAATCACAGAAGATGAAATATTCCAGTGACCTCTGCGAACTATGTCCTAAAAATATTCATCTTAGCCTTCCAGATAAACCCTCAGGAGGTTGGAATAATAATGCTATAGCCATCATAATATAGATATTGCTTTGTTTATATTATTAATTGGCAATTGTTATTCATATTGAGGAATACCAATATATTGAGATCATTACAAGGAACAAATTTTCTCAAAAATTGAAAAATAAATTCAATCCCTTTGAAATACTTAAGTAGATGAGAACCACTGAGAGTCTTTATGGTGAACAGAAGGTTTTGTAGGAAGAAATCTGGAGAAAAAAAATCATCAGAATGAACCAGAAATAGGGAAAAGGAGACAGGATAGATGCCTATTTTTGGAAAAAGGAGGAACAAGGAAGACAAAGAGATATGAAGAAAGCAAATATCTCTTCTTCAACATTATTAGAAAGATGGTAGGTTGTTGTTTTAAATACGCAATTGCAAGTGCAAGAATGGAATTTATATTCTCAATGTGAAATTTCGAAGTCATTATTAAGAGAAAGAGATTGCGTAACTACTGCAGGTCAGGCTAGGAAGTCAGACATATCGAGTATGCTGATCAACCTGGTGTCATTTTGGAAAATCTCTTCTTCATGTGGAAAGAAGCAAGATGTCACACACTTGATTTGAATAGAGAAATATAACTCTGCTTGAACAGGGTGTGAATGGTTATTCTTTCTTCTTTCAGATCCTTGGGTTATTCACTCTTCAAACCACTATTATTTGGCTTCTATAAGTAAGGAACCGGTACATTGGTGTTTTTAGGGTTAGCTTCTATAATCCATTTTCAGAAAAAAAAAAAAAACCTATTTCAATGGAGATCAAGTGCTGTATACTTTGTAAAAACATCTTCACTCTTCAATCGCCCTCCCTCAAACCAGAAGCAGTGTCTGAATAATTCCTTTAAGTAAATTATAACCTAGCCCAGTTTTGATCAGATAAAGGCAATCATGACATTGTGGTACCTCCACTAGATGGCAGCAGCAGGCATGAGTGTGGCCCGTGAAGTGCTGGGTCACCAGGGATTTAAAAAACAAAAAAGAAACTTAAAAAGGAAAGGCAGGAGAATTTCAGCAGCAGAATCTTAGACAGAGGCCTGGAAACATACAAGATTCAAGATGAAAAAGGACAGAAACAAAGGACTAGAAACAGAAAACAATCACTAGAACTTGTGCTGTTAGGGCTGCTGAAGTTGGAGCTGACAAAGTATGTGAAGAGTCCCCCAAGTCTGGCCAAATTCACTCTGCCCTGTGTGGAGGAGCTGCCTGGAGTTGGGACATGCTTAGCAGGACTTCTCTGAGATGTTGCAAAGCAGAGGGGATGGGGCCGGCAACTGGCCCATGAAAACACGTGAATAATCAATGCAGGCACAGCTTTTCTCCCCTCTGTACTACCCATCATGCTAAACGTCTAGGACTCACCTAGCTGTGGCATCCTATGGAGTCCCCTTTCTTACAGAAACCTCACAGTGCCATCCTTTCCTAACTACAGAGTTTGGATCTCTTAACCAAACCAGAACACTTTGGAGTGAAACTATTGTGGTTAATAATCATGCCTGAACATCAAGCACAACTCAGGTTGTTTGGGCAAATAGAGATGTGTGGAGATCCAGTTCCTCACTTTCCTTCATGACAACTTTTAAAGCTCTCAGAGCCCTGGTAAGTAGATGAACTGAACTTGCCTTTTCATTATCTCTTCTCCACTCAAGGGTGCCTGGCACAGAGTAAGCAAACACTCTATAAATAGAGCTTGTGAAGTGAATGAGTAATGGTGGCTGATGCTGTCTTCGCATCTTCAAAAGACATTTGGTCCAATCTCCAAATTGTATGATTTTACAAATGTGGAAAACTAAGATTCAGAGAGGTTAAGTGACTTGTTCAGTATCAATATAGCAGTAAGTAGCAGAAACAGGCTAGCTCCTGACTCCTACACAAGTATTTTTCCATATCAGTGTTTCAATAGGGATCTTAGAATGAGTGGGCAACATAACTCAAACTAACAATTCAGTATCTTTGCCCTGTGTGAGTCAAGAACTTAAAGGAAGAATACATTACAAATCATTCATCCAAGAGGAGACATTATGACATGATGCTCTGGAGAGGGCACCAAAGCAAGTGTGCAGGAGACAGACATGGAGGATAGATAACAAAAAGGCGAGTTCAGTTCATCTACTTACCAGGGCTCTGAGAGCCTGAAAAGTTGCCATGAAGAAAAACGAGGAACTGGGGAAAGTGTCTCTCCAGGCAGGGTTGACCTGGAGAGATTATGACCTATCTAAAAGGTATCGGGGCCAGGCACAGTGCCTCACTCTTGTAATCCCAGCACTCTAGGAGGCCAAGGCAGGAGGATCACTTGAGGCCAGGTGTTTGAGACCAGCCTGGCCAACATAGCAAGATAACATCTCTACAAAAAACAATTTTTAAAAAATTAGCTAGGCATGGTGACATGTGCCTCATAGTATTAAATACTTGGGAGGCTGAGGTGGGAAAATTGCTTGAGGCCAGGAGTTCAAAGCTGCCAGGAGCTATAATCATGCCACTGCCCTCCAACCTGGGTGACAGAACAAGACCCTGTTTCTAAAACAAACAAACAAACAAACAAACAAGAAATAAAAGGCACAGAGTGCCATAGCTGCAGCACATGGCAGCCAGGTGGAAATACTGTTTCTTCAACAAAGACTTGTGATATAGTTTGGATATTTGCCCCTGCCCAAATCTCATGTTGAATTGTAATCCCCAATGCTGGAGGTGGGGCCTGGTGGGAGGTGTCTGGATCATGGGGGAAGATCCCTCAAGGCTTGATGCTGTCTATGTGATAGTGAGTTCTTACCAGATCTGGTCATTTAAAAGTGTGTGACACCTCCCCACTCCCTCTCTTACTCCTACTTTTACCATGTGAAGTGCCCGCTCCTGCTTCAGCTTCTACCATGATTGGAAGCTTCCTGAGGCCTCAGCAGAAGCAAATGCTTGCACTATGCTTCCTGCACAGCCTGCAGAACTGTGAGCCAATTAAACCTCTGTTTTAACAAATTACCCAGTCTCAGGTATTTCTTTAGAGCAAGGCAAGAACGGCCTAATACAACCTGAAGGTACAGATTTTATGTGAGATCTTCCCATGTTTTTAGTGTAAGAAAAGTTGTGAAACCTTTGTCAGCCAAATCAATGTATCTGTGGTTCACCTTTGACCTATAGCTACTGTGGTTCTCAGCCCCTAGATGATACCTCTGGATTTGCTGTTTTCACTGGTTTAGGGACGTGGGCTGGGCAGCAAGAATTTTCAAAGCACCCCAGGTGATCTGTGGTGCAACCATGATTAAGCCTTACAATTTAAGATACAGTCATCCTGGGCATCAACTGGGAGTTTGCTAGAAATAAGAAATCTGGAGTCCCAACAAATTCTGTTGAATCTACATGATTCTACTGAACCAAAAATCTTCATTTTAAGCAGATTCCCAGCTGATTGATTTAAGAAATCCTGCTCAAGAGAAGGAGGTCTATTCAGATAGTAATACTAATACTATGTCATTTAAAAGTGTGTGGCACCCACCTCTCAATTCTCTTGCTCCTAATTTCACCATGCAAATTGCCTGCTCCCGCTTCAACTTCCACCATGACTGGAAGCTTCCTGAGGTCTCCCCCAGTTTCCATTTGGCAAACAACCCAAGCCAATGCCAGACATAAAAACAGTGACTTTACTCCCCTTCCTGCTTATCTTCCAGACCTGCCCCCCAACATCCCAGAATGGAAGAGGAGCCTTTCATTTTCTTTTATTCTGGGGTTATTTTGTTTTGTAACAGTTTTGTTCTTGTGCCTGGGTATGAACAAGCATTAAACTAGTTCAGAAGAGAATGTATCTAAACACTTGTTCTTTGATAGGGCAGAACTTTAATTATGCTGCTACACTAGACAAATCTTGTCCCAGGGACTCCACAAGAAGATAGCTCACCAAAAAAAAAAAAAAAATTATTGGCTCTCTCTCTGAACAAGAACTCGATTAATCTTAAATCTAACCTCTGGCGTTTTTTTGGTTCCACATCACTAATTTTATCATATATCTTTTTCACCTGTCAGATGTCTCTGGCACAAATGTCAGGGCACTGTCCCTTATATGACATAATCTCTAAGTTTAAAAAATCTCTCCACTGTACAACAGAGAGAACTTAATGTTCCTTTGTCATCTGACAGTCCCAAGTTCATTAATAGCTCTTAGAATGCATTGGCTTCCCTTTAGGGAAACCTCATCTCCATTTATTCTTTTCCTCCCAGGAAAAAATTGATTAGCCCCAATCCCATCCAGGCAGTCAGTCAATAAATGTTGAAATGCAATAATAATAATGACCAAAAAACGTCATGTTCTTCTTTATCCATGGAGGTTGCCATGGTTACCACTAAAATCTTGTTTTGTTTCACTGGTCCTTCAATTCTTTTACATAAGATTCCTCAGGATTTACTGCTTGCCCTCTCCTTCTCCCTTCACTTCCTTGAGAATCAGTGATTGTCACTGATATACTGCACCTGTGCTGTATACCTGTGACTATTTCAATTTAAAATAAAATAAATTATTTCTCATATAACTTTAAGTCCCAAATATATGAACACATTTAAAGGATAGAAATGTGAGAATGCTGTCATAAAAATCACAATACATGACTTTTTCAATTGGATCAAATTGCAAAAGTAAGTGAAAAAAATACAATTTTTATAACTAAGCTAGTATGGTTTCCTATTGGATTAACAAATGTTTCTTCCTTATCAGAAATAACTACGTAAGACATATTTGAATACTGAAAAAAATATTACTTTCGCCCCCAAAACAATCTAAAGCAACTCCTGCTATGTGTATCTGCAATCCTAAACAATAGTCTTTCCCATAATGTATGCATGGAAATTTTCCCTTGGATTATGAGTGGTGTTAATGAATCTTGATGATGTGCCCTCTCAGCCTACAAGATTACCCAATAGTGCTCCCTAAAATATTCATTGCATTAGTGTGTGTGTCTGCCACATTCAATAGCCCTCCACTGTAGTTTTCTATGGGGCTACATCTTGGCTACACATTACAAAGTTGCACATTCATTTGTTAAACAGCCTCACTCATCATATAGCAACAGCTATTGGCTACATTCTCATTCATTCGTTGCATTAGTCCAGAGCTGAGACTTGATTGCCTGGCTTAGATCTCATCTTTGCTTATTTCATTTTGTGATTTAACATTTATCAAAAGATTGGGCTTCCAAGAACTAGATATATCTGTAGTTAGGTCCGTATGTTATAGGCAACCAATGTCTACTTGTTGCTAGTCCCATGTTGAGTGACCTTAGTTACAGGGTAGTAATGAATGTTCTTTCCTCTGCCCATAGGCTCAATTATACAAAATTGCCTATTTTTGGCCATTTTAGTCTACAAATTGATAGTGTTGTATGATTCAGCCAACATCCCTTATTCAGTTAGGGACTAGAAGGGAAGATGACGCTCCCTCTTTAGTTTTGGTATACCTATGGCTCTCGAGTTCTGCAATTCTACCTAAAGTTCCAGAATCTCAAGGCTAACTAAAAAACTGGAGGAGCTCTGAAATTCTTATGAGATACATGAGCTTATTCAAAGTCAGGCAGATAAATCATGAATAAATTAATTGAGCTTTCTCCTGTTCTTTTATCTCACTCACAGTTGCTAGAAGGCCAGCATAAGGAAAGCATAGAAGAATAAAAACGATAAACATTTACTAATAGAAACTGCGAAGGGTAAGGAAGACAGAAAGGCAAACACAACTGCTTTCTTTTGGAGCGGGGAGGTTAACGTAAAACATGTGTCTCCCATAGGGCTTTGCCATGTTCCATATCCAAGAATATGTGGGGATTCCTTTGAAAGGGAGATAGAAAAATCAATGGCTAATATTTTCCAAGTCTCATCCAACCAAGAGATACAGGATAGTTATTATACTTAGGGGCATAGTGCCCAGTGCAGCTCTATTTTTTCATGATCACGATGAGGATACTGAATACAAATATAACTTAATTAAATATAAAGAGAGGTGTCAGTTTGAGACAATCACATACCAAAAATGGCATAGGGGAAAATGAGAAAACAATGAACTAAGAAGTATATCCATCCCATTAACTCACGTTTAATAATGATATATAAAAGACTCGGTCCTACTATGTTCTACAATTTTTCACTTTACTCATTCCCTACAATTCTATGGTTTGCTTTATCATTTTATGACCTTAATCACAGAAGTGGTGAATTTTATACCTACATACCTGTTAACTAATTTTCTCTTGTACATTCTCCACAGTATATCATACAGAGCCTCCAACAAGCTGTGTGTCCCTTGCGCATATTATTAAACCCTCTATCTTTCATATTCTTCATCTTTAAAATAAAGAGGCTGAATGCTACAGTTAAAGAATAGCAGGAATACTGGATTCCAGTGGGGAAGCTTTTGTGATCAACTTTATGTTCCTGAAACTAGTGAGGAAGGATACTGTGGTTGAGTATTTCCCAAATGTGGAATAAATGTCATGTAGGACCATGTGAGGGGACATGAACAGACCTTCTTTTGAATAATTACGTACTTTTTAAAACTTCTATTATGTCAGTTGATATTGGTTTCTTGTTGGTGATAATAATTAAACAGAAACAAGATTATTGAAACAATTTAGGGTTAAAAGTGAAAATATGTTAAGAAACATAATATGTAAATATTGATAAGTTATTTAAAAAGGTGGTGGTGAATCACTGGGGTCTGGGAAACAATGCAGGGGTGATTCTCAATGAGAAAACTGGAAACACGTTTACTAGTTTTTTTCCAAGTGGCATTATCTTTGAAAATCTGATAAATAGAACTATCTTTTCGGAATTTGCTAACAATATGTTTTTATGCAGTGTTCTTCATTGAAAGCCTGAATTCTAAGAGTCACATCCGTGCACAAAGCTGTTCTTTGAATTCTGAGGAGTTCTGACCTTCTTCAAAACCACTGCCAAAGAACTGGTAAGACAGAGATGTGTGGGTCATGGCTGGAAGGGCAGCAAATGTACGTGACCCTCTTTAGCCCAGGAAAAAGCACTGTCATTTCCACGTTCTTACACCATCACAGGTTCCTGTGGGCTTGCATCTGCCTGGCACTGTGCTAAGCCCTTTGCAAGCATTATCATGTTTCCTTGTAACAATCCTATAAAGTAGATTATTTTATTTCTATTTTATGTAGAACAAGATTACTGTGTCCCGGTGGCATAGTTTGAAACTGGTTGAGACAGGGTTCAAACCCAGATCTTTGTAATGACAAACCATGACACTATTTCGGATCTTTAATAAGGAGTGATTTTGAGAGAAATCTAATTGTTTCTGATCAAGATCCAGAAGTTTTCATTATATTTGGCTGGTACTTCAAAACATGTAATTGTTAGGTACAATGTTCCACTTTAAATTAGGTAACAAAATACTGCTATGACCAAAGGAAAAAGGGGAATACTGTAAATGATCATGAGTTTTCATCCTAATTTTCACCATGATAAAATGATTTATTTCAAAGGATTTTGCTATTAATTGAATTATTTTATTAGAAAGACAATTTTTTTCTGGAATCATTTCATCTTCTGCCACTAAATACAAAATAAAATTCACAACTTGAGAAGTTAACAAGTGTAAAGCTTTCTTTATTTTTATTTTTAAAGGTTTAAACTCACCTTATACATAATACAATCATTTTCTGATCTCATGTGGTGTCGATCTAAATATAATGAGTTCTAATAAATTCTGAGGACAACGAAATCTTTGTGGTGCCTGTGTATATGTGTGCGTGTGTACACATACACACACATAGACACACACACACACACACACACACACACACACACTGGAAGCTCTAGCATGCCAGTTTAGGCCCCATGGATAATCTAATTTCCCCCTAACCCAAAGACCTACTAAGGAAAATATTAAAATGGACATAGGGCCTGGATCATGAGGTCTCGAAAATGCAATTGGGACTAATAAAGCGGTGGGCAGTCTTTCTTGGGATAATTTTGGTTTTGTAGCTTGTGTCGGGAAGGATTTTTTTGTTTCTCCTTGGCTGGTGCCACTCATGTGCCTTCTGATGTAACTTCCTCGGGCTTTCTTTCAAATGTTTCAAGAACTGGCTATTAGATAAATTGTGATCAATAATCCTTTTCTGCCTGTATGAGCAATCTTATAAAATAATTACAAGTCCTGTCTGTAGAGAGCCCTTTCACCTCAGGGGAATGTATATTAGTACTTAGGAGGAGAAAAAGTCAATATAACTAAGACCAAATGAGCAAAGAGATATACATGATGGTGGCTTAATTTTGGGAGCCTCCCCAACAGAAGCATCAGAAACAGCAAAGATACCAAATAAGGCAACAGAATAGTGAGCAGCACCAAAAAAATAACAAGAATTAAGCAGATGACCTCATTTCTATAAGCCTCCTTTTACTTATGTGTAAAATGAGTACAATAGTCATTCTTTATAGAGATATTAAAGAGGTTAGATTATATGAAATACAATTTGATACACAAAGTTCTCAGCATTGACCTGGCACATACTATGTATTCACTAAACGGATGCTACTGCAGAGAGGCAGCATACTGACAAGGACATAGGCTCTGAGATCAGACTGCCTGAACTACTGATCACGCTGACTGTGTGACCTGGGGCAAGTCACTAACCCCATTGTGCCACATCTGTAAAATGAAAGTAGTCATAATGTTATTTTATAAGATTGTTGTAATAATTGAGTTAATACATGTGAAGCCCTTAAAACAATATCTACCATTTAAGGAGAACTCAAAGAATATTAGCCATTATTCATCATTCTAATTCAGGATGCTAATTAAATCTTTACATTGTTTGAATAATTAAACTACTTTTATAGTTAAAGTTTTTCAGCTCAAGCAATTAAAATTTTTAGTTATTTAAAAACCAAATAAAATGCAGAAAAGAATTATGTGGTGTGAGTGTAGAATCATAATATTGTTTTTTAAAAAAATCTTGAAAGGATGTTGTAAATGTCAAGAATAAAAAATCATCCAGTTTGATGTATTTTATAGTAAATCTCTAAAATGTACACATTTTGATATTAATACAAATGTTAATAGACATTACAGGGGTGTAAAGCTGATTTTTGTAACCACATAATTTATGTATTTGGCATATTGTTACCACGAGCTGCTAAACAGATTTAGAGAAAGTTACACTATTCACTCCAACATTCCCCCAAAATGACTCCAATTCAGAGCTTTTTATTTTCATAGCTCGTTACACACCTCCTTGAAAGCATAACTTATGTCTCAGAATGTCTCAGATGACAAAAAAGTTAAGCCTGAAATATTAACTGTACTATTTATTCCACAGTGTTGAAGAGTGAAAAAACGAAGACCACCTGGTCAAGATTACAAATCCAGCAGTGGTTATTTTTGCCTCTCTTCAGAACTCCTCCTTCTAGCACCGTCCTGTTTGTCCCCTTGGACCTACCCATCATTCTTATTTTCACCATTTTTGTTCCACATTTGCAATGTTCCTGCTGTTTGTTGGAGAAGGAAAACAATGAATATGATTCTGAGGCAAGAAACGTCAGTGACGGGGCACATTGCTGTAGGGGCCAGGCTTCATGATGGGCACTGCACACACATTAGCTGCAGTCTTCACAAAGCTCTAAAAAATGGGTATTGTTATCCTCTTTTTCAAATAAGGAAATCGAGGCTCAGAAAGTTCAAGTTACTTGCTTATGGTCATACAGACACTGCATGTCACAGTGAATATTCACAAACAAGTCCATGTGACGTTCATGCCCTTACTACAGGTCCCTACCACACTGTTTCTGCTGAAAGTCCCTTTGTGGAAGGGTTTGGGTCTTTTGGTTATCAAACTAACAACAACAACAGCAACAACAAACAGAACTCAGCAAAGAAACAAAAAAACTAATGAAAGAAATGCAGCAAAAGTTGATTCTTGGGTTTTTTGGTTTGTAGAACAATGAACATATTGTCTTTATTCCTTTTCCCCAAATTTTCTAAAGTGCCATTCAATCTCTTAATAATGTGAACAACACAAGTCTAGGATAATGAAACAAGTATTTTTTTAAAAACTTTTTTTGGCTGGGCGCAGTGGCTCACACCTGTAATCCCAGCACCTTGGGAGGCAGAGGCAGACTGATCACGAGGTCAGGAGTTCGAGACCAGTCTGGCCATCATGGTGAAACCCCATCTCTACTAAAGATACAAAAAATTAGCTGGGCGTGGTGGTGTGTGCCTGTAATCCAAGCTACTCAGGAGGGTGAGGCAGGAGAATGACTTGAACCCCGGGAAGCAGAGGTTGCAGTGATCGTGCCATTGCACTCCAGCCTGGGTGACAGGGAGAGACTCTGTCAAAAACAAAAACAAACAAACAAACAAAAAACAAAAAAAAAACATTTTTTTTAAGAGAAGGTGCTTTCTAATAAGGGCTTAAGTTATAACTCTTCCCACTTGTGTTAGTGTTTATGTGGGGAACACAAAGATTTTAAAAAGAAAGAAATAACAACAATAAAAAACCAGTCAAACAAATAACAATAGCAACAAAAAACTCTTCAAGATGCAGAGAAATGTATCATTTAGTTTGGAATGGGAAATAGCAAATCATATTTGTCATTTTGAATTAGGAACAATCTTAACATTTCTCACACCATTCAGCTAAATGTCTAGATTTGCTGTGATCTGAATCAGAATTAAGATTCAAAATGTCTTTTCCAAGTTTTTAATCTTTATAAGGCCCGGATTCCAAACCTTGCCTCATGGAGTAAGCCACTTACTCAGTAACAGCTCCATCAAACACCAAGAGGCTTGAGCCCCTTATTTCCTCACTGTCTCAACCTTTCTCCCTCTATCCCTCCCTTCCCTTCTTTCCACCTACACTTAACAAAAGACCCTGTTCAAATGGACAGGATGGTCTGTATGCACCACTGAATCAGCACAGGGGAACTGGGACACACCAGACATTCTTCTTCACTCCCTACCTCAGCCGTTTCTCAGTAAGTTTTCTTCCAGCCACATCATTGTGCTTCCCCATAAACTGAATGTCTGCTTGAACCCTTAGGATGGTTTCATTTTATTTGTTTATATATTTATTGTTTGAGACAGAGTCTTGCTCTGTCACTCAGGCTGGAGTGCAATGGTACAATCTTGGCTCACTGCAACCTCCGCCTCCCGGGTTCAAGCGATTCTCCTGCCTCAGCCTCCCATGTAGCTGGGATTACAGGCATGCACCACCACGCTTGGCTAATTTTTTGTATCTTTAGTAGAGATGGGTTTTCACCATGTTGGCCAGGCTGATCTTGAACTCCTGACCTCATGATCTACCTGCCTTATCTTCCCAAAGGGCTGGGATTCCAGGCGTGAGACACTATGCCCTTAGGATGGTTTTGGGCAGGTGGTTTTCAGCACAATGTTGCTGAAAAGATTAACAGCTAGTTTTGAGTTTTGTGTTTTTTCCTTCCTTTTTTCCTGAGGCCCTGTTGACATTTTTCTGAATAATTTTCTGAACAATTCTTTCTCTCTTTCTTTCTCTCTCTCTCTCTCTCTCTCTCTCTCTCTCTCACTCTCTCTCCTTTAATCAGCTTGGTCCCTTAAATAAAAAATATTTCATAGTTAAGTTTAACCTGGTAGAATCCATGTATGGGAGTATTTCATAATGTGATGAAAGATAAGAGAAATATTGTCAATTTAATTACACATTATTCATAGATACTAATATCAGATAATGAGACACTTTTCTGTTTAAGTGTGGGAAAATAAGTTAATTCTAAATCAAATCTAAATATTATACCTCATGCTATGGTTTTATTTTATTTCAGTGCTGCCGTTACTTTTCCTCCCCAAAGCAATGTGTTTTCCAGCCACAATCCTCTAGTTGGTTTTAAATCCATGTCCTTCATTCAGAAGCACAATGATCCCCAATAGCAACTTTGTACTGACGCATTGCCATAAATATAGTCATAAAATATTCAAGAGGAGCATATGGGTGAAGGGCTTTGCTCTGTTCTGGCTGAAGGAAAAATATAAGTAATTTTGATCAGAGTCTAAAGCAAAAACGGACAGAAAAGAGATCAAAGTTACAACTTGAAGCTTGCTGAGAAACTGCTAAGCTTTACCTAAAGTGCAGGGCATCATCAGATACAGACAGGAATGATGCTGAGTCTTAGAGGAACCTTTCTCTCTGCTTCATGTTACTCTCCACCTCGTCCCCCTGCCATTATCCGTTATTCTCCCACACACGGGCAGATGCACATACAAATTGACACATACCAAAAGCAGTGGGTAGAAACGTGAATTTAACATTATGTAACTTTTCTTTTAACTTCCTGTAACTTCATTCTGTAAGTTTCCTGTCCTTACCTAAACATTCCTTATCATACCATTAAACGAGTTGATTAAACCCTGTCAAATTTAATTATCTAGCATTCAAAATTAACTTGTAGGCCACTTGCCGTGGCTCAGGCCTGTAATCCCAGCACTTTGGGAGGCCGAGGTAGGCTGATCACTTGAGGTCAGGAGTTTGAGACCAGCCTGGCCAACATGGTGAAACCTCATCTCTACTAAAAATTCAAATAATTAGCCAAGCGTGGTGGTGCACACCTGTAGTTCAAGCTCCTTGGGAGACTGAGGCAGGAGAATCGCTTGAACTTGGGAGGTGGAGGTTGTGAGTAAGCTGAGATCACACCACTGTATTGCACTCAGCCTGGGTGACAGAGAGAGATTCCATCTCAAAAAAAAAAATTAACCTGTAAAATTACCACATTCTACTTTTAAAAGCTGAAAATCACTAAGAAAATTTGTGTACATCCGATTTACCAAAAGAATTTAAAAATAAATGTGTAGCCATTAAAATAAATATAAATATAAAATATATTTCAATGTAAATATATTTGACTACAAGTGTATATTTATATTTATACACTTTAAATAAAAACTTTTATTTATATTTAACATATTTATTTTATATAAATAAACATAAAGTAGTTGAAATCATTTTTTAAATCCAAAACCTTAATTTCCTTGTTTGTACAATGCAAATTATCATACTTGTTTTACTATCTGCAATGAGGGTTTGTGATGATTAATAATGAGCAACTGGATTGGATTGAAAGATGCAAAGTATTGATTCTGCGTGTGTCTGTGAGGGTGTTGCCAAAGGAGATTAACATTTGAGTCAGTGGTCTGGGAAGGCAGATCCACCCTTAATCTGGGTGGGCACCATCTAATCAGCTGCCAGCAAATATAAAGCAGGCAGAAAAACATGAAAAGACTAGACCTAGCCCCTCAGCCCTACATTTTTCTCCTGTGTTGGATGCTTCCTGCCCTCGAATATCATACCCCAAGTTCTTCAGTTTTGGGACTCGGAGTGGCTCTCCTTGCTCCTCAGCTTGTAGATGGCCTATTGTGGGACCTTGTGACTGTGTGATTAATACTTAATACAATACAATACTACACACACACACACACACACATATATATATATACACACACACACACACACACATACACACACACATATATATATGTAAAGGGGAGTTTTATTAAATATTGATCCTATTAGTATATATAGTATATATATCCTATTAGTTCTGTCCCTCTAGAGAACCCTGACTAACACCGATTTTGGTACTAGGAGTACCCACTAGGAGTGGGGTCAGAACAGGAAAAGTTTCTGCAACAGGTCCAAGCTGCTGTTCAAGCTGCTCTGCCACTTGGGCCATATGACCCAACAGATCCAATGGTGCTTGAGGTGCCAGTGGCAGATAGGGATGCTGTCTGAAGCCTCTGGCAGGCCCCCATAGGTGAATCACGGTAGAGATCTCTAGGATTTTAGAGCAAGGCCCTGACATCTTCTGCAGATAACTACTCTCCTTTTTTTTTTTTTTTTTTTTGACAGAGTCTCTCTCTGTTGCCAGGCTGGAGTGCAGTGGCACAATCTCCAATCACTGCAACCTCCACCTCCTGGGTTCAAGCCATCCTCCTGCCTCAGCCTCTTGAGTAGCTGGGATTACAGGCACGCATCACCAAGCCAGCTAATTTTTTTGCATTTTTAGTAGAGATGGGGTTTCACCATGTAGACCAGGATGATCTTGATCTCCTGACCTCATGATCCACCCTCCTCAGCCTCCCCGTGTTGGTATTACAGACATGAGCCACCGTGCCCGGCCACTACTTTCCTTTTGAGAGACAGCTCTTGGCCTGTCACTGGGCTTTGGTGGAAACTAAATGTTAGACTATGGGTCATCAAGTCACCACACAACCTGAACTGCCCCTGGGTGCTTTCTGACCCATCTAGCCATAAAGCGGGTTGTGCGCAGCAGCATTCAATCATCGAACGGAAATCTTATACATGTGATCAGGCTCGAGCAGGTCCTGAAGGCAGAAGTAAGTTACATGAAGAAGTTGCTCAAATGCCCATGGTCTCCACTCCTGCCACCCTGTCTTCTCTCCCCCAGCCTGCATCGATGGCCTCATGGGGAGTTTCCTATGATCAGTTGACAGAGGAAGACAAGACTAGGGCCTGGAAAACAGATGGTTCTTCACGATATGCAGGCACCACCCAAAAGCAGACAGCTACGGCATAGCCCCTTTCTGGGACATCCCTGAGGAAAGCGGTGAAGGGAAATCTTCCCAGTGGGCAGAACTGTGAGCAGTGCACCTGGTTGTGCACTTTGCATATAAGGAGAAATTGCCAGATGTGCAATTATATACTGATTCATGGGCTGTAGCCAATAATTTGGCTGGATGGTCAGGGACTTGGAAGAAGCATGATTGGAAAATTGGCGGCAAAGAAATCTGGGGAAGAGGTGTGTGGATGGACCTCTCTGAGTGGTCAAAAACTGTGAAGATCATTGTATCCCATGTGAGTGCTCACCAGTGGATGACCTCAGCAGAAGAGGATTTTAATAATCAAGTGGATAAGATGAACCATTCTATGGACACCACTCAGCCACTTTCCCCAGCCATCCCTGTCATCGCCTAATGGGCCCATGAACAAAGTGGCCATGGTGGCGGGGATGGAGGTTACACACGGATTCATCAACACGGACTTCCACTCACTAAGGCTGACCTGGCTATGGCCACTGCTGAGTGCCCAATTTGCCAGCAGCAGAGACCAACACTGAGCACTCGATATGGCACCATCCCTTGGGGTGATCAGCCAGCCACCTGGTGGCAGGTTGATTATATTGAACCTCTTCCATCAAGGAAAGGGCAGAGGTTTGGCCTCACTGGAATACTTACTCCAGGCATGGGTTTGCCTGTCCTACATGCAATGCTTCTGCCAAGACTACCATCCATGGACTCATGGAATGCCTTATCCACCACTGTGGTATTCCATACAGCATTGCCTCTAACCAAGGCACTCACTTTACGGCTAAAGAAGTGTGGCAGTGGGCTCATGCTCATGGAATTCACTGGTCTTACCATGTTCCCCATCATCCTGAAGGAGCTGGATTGATAGAATGGTGGAATGGCCTTTGGTAGTCACAATTACAATACCAACTAGGTAACAATACTTTGCAGGGCTGGGACAAAGTTCTCCAGAAGGCCTTGTATACTCTGAATCAGCATCCAATATATGGTACTGTTTCTCCCATAGCCGGGATTCACAGGTCCAGGAATCAAGGGGTGGAAGTGGAAGTGGCACCACTTACCATCACCCCTAGTGAACCACTAGCAAAATTTTTGCTTCCTGTTCCCATGAAATGACATTATGCTGGCCTAGAGGTCTTAGTTCTTTCTAGAGGGAAGAAAGCTGCCACCAGGAGACATAATGATTCCATTGAACTGAAAGTTAAGATTGCCGCCAGGCTCCTCCTACCTTTAAGTCACCAGGCTAAGAAGGGAGTTACAATGTTGGCTGGGGTGACTGACCCAGACTATCAAGATGAAATCAGTCTACTACTCCACAATGGAGGTAAGGAAGAGTATGCATGGAATACAAGAGATCCATTAGGGTGTCTCTTAGTGTTACCATGCCCTGTGATTAAGGTCAATGGGAAACTACAACAGTTCAATCCAGGCAGGACTGCAAATGACCCAGACCCTTCAGGAATGAAGGTTTAGGTCACTCAACCAGGAAAAATAAAAACACAACCTGTTGAGGTGCTTGCTGAAGGCAAAGGCAATACAGAATGGGTAGTAGAAGAAGGTAACCCTCAATACCATCCACAACCACGTGATGAGTTGCAGAAATAAGGACTGTAATTGTCATGAGTATTTCCTCCTTTTGTTAAAAACATGTCGGTGCATGTATATAATTGTACCAAGAAAATATCTTCATTTTATTTCTTTTCTCCTTTATGTGACATAATATTTATTGACTTCATATCATCATTTAAGTATTGTTAACTTTATGTAATAGCATTTGGGTTGGGGATTGGTGTGTTTCCAGTTGTACAAAAGATAGTTGTTTTATGATAAGTGTAATTATGACATTATTGTCTCTATTTGAAGATTATGCATGATCTCAGGGGATGTGCATGGGTTCAAATTGACAAGGGGTGGACTTGTGATGGTTAATACTGAGTGACAACTTGATTGGATTGAAGGATGCAAAGTATTGATCCTGGGTATGTTTGTGAGGGTGTTGCCAAAGGAGATTAACCTTTGAGTCAATGGGCTGGGCAAGGGAGGCCCACACTTAATCCCGGTGGGCATCATTTAATCAGCTGCCAGCGAATATAAAGCAGGCAGAAAAACATGAAAAGACTAGACTGGCCTAGCCTCCCAGCCTACATGTTTCTCCCACGCTGGATGCTTCCTGCCCTCAAACGTCGAACTCCAAGTTTTTCAGTTTTGGAACTCGGACTGGTCCTCCTTGCTCGTCAGCTTGCAGACGGCTGATTGTGGGACCTTCTGATCGTGTGAGTTAATACTTAATAAACTCCCCTTTATACATATACATATTTCCTATTAGTTCTTTCCCTCTAGAGAACTCTGACTAATACAGGGTTACATGAAATAACCCATCTGAACATATCCAGTGCATTTATTTCTTGGCACATTTTATTCAATAAGTATAAGCAGAGAATTCACCTATTGTTGCACATGCTGAAATGAACTACAGCCATAGAAATATATAAAAACAGAAGGGTCTCATAAAAAAAAAAAAAAAAACAAACATAATGCTTATTTTCTTGCCAAGAAGCCTAGTAGTTAACATAATAGTTTCCTTTCAAAGCATCTTCTTTTTCCATATAGAGAATCTGGGTCTTCAAGACAATCAAACTGGTTTTTCCTAAGTGGATTCCATTTGCAGCAGGCCCCCAGTGAAAACTATCTATCTCCAGTGGGCCAAGATTAATCAGTTCTACTCTGGCTTCATCTCGCCTGGGTTTCATCTGCTAGTAAAATGATAGTACAGCAATGAGGAAGACGGTATGCCATGAAGAAAAAAAGAGTTTGAAATCTTAGCGGATCTACTCATTTCCTCTGCACCTGAGCCAGGCTTTACTTCCCAAAGAAAGAGGGGAGGAATGATGTATAAGCTCTTGAATGAGCAGGGAGAGGAACAGCTGTCGACAACAAATTGATTTCATTGGTTGAGTTCTGCAGCAGCAGGCAGTGGGGCTGGAGTGGCTGCGGGCTGCTGTGCTTATCCACCAGGGTAGTTAACATCATTAAGACAATTCCAGAGGGCCTAACTGGAGAAGTAGAGACAGAGGATCGCTGCAGAGAGAGGAAGGCAGAGAGGTAGAATCCTGATCAACAGGGCACTCCACGGGCCTTAAACAGAGAAAGGAACAAACAGCATGGTAAATTGCAAAACACTGCTTGCTACCCTGTCTTCATGACAGCTCTGTTGCCAGATGAGAGAACTATTTAGTCTTTTCAGGTCCCATTGTGTAGCTTTCTTTCCAGTACACTGAGTTCTCTGTGGAACTTGCCGTATCTCCCTACGGCTTATGCAGATGCTTTATGAGATGAACCCCACGTGGTTTCCACATCCATTCTCTGTGTGCAGGAACAGGGAAGTCTCCACATATTTCGGATACCTTTTATGGGAGCAAGGTTGCCTCATGCCAAAACACAGGACCAGAAAAGCAGGATGAGACACAAGCACAGGAAACTGCTGTCTACAAGAGCCAAATATTTGGATCCTAGTAAAAGTTTGCCAAAGGCTTCATTTCCTGCATATATGTGCCAGACGTAAATGTCTAAGGGTCAAATTTCCGATATGGTTTTAATCCAGTTCTGAAGAGTACATGGTTTACTTATTTGAAATCGCCTGTACGTATAAAAGAAGAAACTACATTCACGGTGTGGAGATCCTTCTATTGATGAATTTTAGCAGTGGCTATCTCTTTTATTTGACTAGTGGTATTTGTCTGGCATTGTTTGAAAATGCAGATGTGAAGACTTCTTTCAAACAGAAGTAACTCCTCTAAGGGTTAAAGGAAGAAAAGGCCTCATGTAATTCCACTGTCACCTTCTCTAGGATCTAAAGTACAGCCAGTCCCCAGTTTAGGATGGCTTGACTTGACTTTATTTTATGATTGGTTTATCAGGATGTAATCCCATCATAAGTCAAGGAGCATCTGTACAGTAAATTGTCAGAAATGTGCCACCACTATTTAGAATGATGGATGAGTGGCACAAAAATAAACATTATCCAACTGCCCTCCACTTAATGAAGGCAAATTTATAGAATATTATAATTTCCCAAAACATATATAAGACTCATTACCATCTTTTTCACCTTTTAGGAAGGCTTCATAATCAAAATCAAAATGTTTACTCATACTGCAGAAGTGAGAACTTTGTGATTTTTTTTCCTTAATCACGTCTTAAAAAGAAACAAGAAGAGTAAGAAAGTCCTGTGTTCACCATTTTCTCCAACATTAAGGATGGCCCCTTGCTCACCATTTATTTCCTAAAGCACTGCTTAAGTTGCATAGATGTAGAGGTGAGAGAATGAAAGGGCAGGAGAGATTTCTGCTCTCCATGGCCAAAAATGTGCATTTGACATTAATAAGTCCCTCATCCTCCATGATTCTTATGCGTGTTTTGATGTTGAAAGGAGAGCCTCTACAACATTCCAAGTACATTTAATTGGCATGATCTTATTAGCAGACAGAATTCACTCAGGGAAATTACTTGGCCAAGCTCTCAGGACACATAGGTGTTGAAAACAAGGATTTCCACCCAAGCAAGTATGTTTGATTCCAAAGCAAAATATCATGCTATTACCATATTGACTTTTGCATTCACAGATCAACCTTTGTCCATCATATTACACTTAGGTAGTTGATATTTCCACTTCAGGCCCAAATTAGATTTGACAAATTGGCTCAGTCCAGCTGGGTTTGTTTTCTGACACTGGCAGTAAAAACATTTTGGCCTCTGTAACATATAACCTGTGGATTCATGTCCCAGTTATTGTTTCATCATAATCTATTATCAATCTACAAAGTTTATGAATATGCATGTAGAAACCATGACACAAAGTATTCGCATTTGTTGAAATACTAAGTTAAGGAAGATTTTCATATCCTGGGACTTGTTAAGCATGTGATAACTTTCTTTAGACACAATGACGCTAACTATCTGAAATACTCTTGATGCAGATTTGAGAAAGTGTGAGCTACATCACGTTTGCTTACAGGGCCGTTCCTAATGGTACCAATCATCTGTTTAGTTTTCTTGGCTCTAACAGCACTATGCACTAATGTTTTTTAGAGAATAGTAAACTATTTCTAGAACACTGAAATTCAACAAAATGTTAAGTATCTGGGCAAAGAACATTCATAGCTTTAAAAAGGGAGTAGTGTTAACAGGGGATAAGAATCCAAATGGCTTTGTTACTACCTAGTAATGTTAATTTAAAATGACAGAACACTTTCAAAATACTTCAACTAAAATAGATTTATTTTTTCTTTTATAATTGTTATATGTCAATATATGAGATAAAGCACATAGATTACAGAAACCAAGGGATAGAAAGAAATTCGATGGTTTGTATAGAGCAGCAAATCATCCCATACTTCTACCTCCTTTCCTGTATCTTTGCCAAGTATTCTATTTAAAGTTCCCTGTGGGGAGCTCTGTCTTGGGAAAGAGTTTGACAGCAGTTAAATAAAAGGATTTATTTAAAAAGGAGACCTGGGTTCAGTTCACATCTTGGCTCTATTACTTACTTAAATGGATTATTGGGCAAGTTATTGAGGCTCTTTGAGTCTTATCCTTAAATGAGGAGAATTTATTTCATATGGATGTTGTAGAGGAGTAAATTAAGTGTCAAACAGTATCTTGCACAGAGTAAATACTCAATAAATGCCCTATATATGGACATTTTTGACACTAAGTCTTAGGAGATATCTTAGTTCCCTAGAAAAGTATATTTTAGATTTCTTCAAAGAAATCTAATCAACTTTCTTTTCTTTAAAGAAATCTAATCAAATGCAACTTTAGATCTGAAAATTTTAAGTATTTCAAAATAAGAGCATTAACATGCCATATGTAGCTCGAATGCTATATTTCTCTTTGCACGTATTTAACTTTGCAAATCATCTGATGGCTTAATTACAAAGCTGGGCCTGACATCCATCACTCTGCATAGGGGAAGTCTGTCCAGAAGAGACTAGAAGTGGCTTCTTTCTACTTGAGTTATCAATCAGGAATTCTAATTTAAATCCAGAGAGATGTGCCCAATGCTGAGTTTTGGTTCCAGGATCTCTTGGTTCACCGGAGTTTTATATATTCTTCCAATGTTCTAAAATGTGCTATTCCATGACAAAACAATTATTTGCTTTGTGTGTAGTAGTAGCTTTGCCTTTTAATCACTTAGAAAAATCCACCAAATAGTAATCTGGCTAACCTTGTGAGATGCGAGGGCATCAATGATAAAGAGACCCTTTTTACAATCCTCTTCTTGGGTGTAAGCCAGGCACTCCTAAAATGGAGTTGTCCTTGCAATTTGCCATCAGTGAAGCAATATTCTGAGCCATCTCCCAAAAGAGTAGTTCCTACCACTAATCAGGCATTTACTTTAGTTTTTCTTCTAATAGTAAAAAATCACCTACACTTTCTAGGCCAGAGTTTCCAGCCAGTGGGACACTGTGAATAGGTTACAGGAGCTCAGGTATTGATCTGACAGCCCTTATCACCACCAGGAGAGGCCTGGTATACAGCATCATCTCTGATCATTAATACAGTCAGCATATAAAATATTTTGTGCATGAGTCTTGACATGAAAACCTTTGAGAAACACTGTGGGTCCTAGCTGATTCTTCCTTAGGTAGCTGAAGGAAGTCCAGTATCTTAAGTGGTGTCTGACTATGCAACACAAAAGTGTGGTGCTTCTATGGCAGAGGGTAAATGCAATGACCCTTTTTCATGTTTCCCACAGACATGTGAGGAATTGAATGTGTGACCTTTATATAATTGGTGGGTCTTAATTTTGCACCAAGTAATTGGGATTTTCATCATGGAGAAAATAGATTTTGCCTCCCTTCCAATATCAAGAAGGTGGTTGGCTGATTAATAATCTATGACTTATAGCATAATAAGTGAATGAAGATAAGGAACACATGGATCCCTGTACACATTCATTTAACAATTACTTGTTTTCTTTCAAATATCAGGAAGGATAAATGTTAAGCATAAATGTTAATGAATATATCAGTACTAGTATATTTGTATTGTTCTTATGCTATAATTTCCAATATTTATATAGCTTTTCATAGTTTAGAAAAAGAGTGGACCTCTTAAAATCACATGTGCAAAACAAAAAAGGCATGGTGGAATCAGTGTGGTCTATTGGATAAATAGAGAGGCAGCATTTTTTGCAGGAGGAAACACTGCACAAAACTCATTTTTGTCACATTAAAATTAAGTAGGTGTGTAGAAATAATATTACCCTAAACTGAAAATCAGCTAGTGACTCAGAAAGGAGAAAAATTTATCACCATATAGAAAGAAAACCTAGAGTTCCTATTTTTGTGTTTTAAGCATCATGGATAAACACTTCCTGGTTCCTTTTATAAACTCTTAATTATGGGGAGGGAAGGAGATATTTGACAAAAGAGGGTGTGGGATTGATTCTGAGGGGTTCATTATGCTTTTCAGGATGCCTTCTTTAAATGAAGGATAAGATGAAAAGTAAGTCACCAAAAAAGGGAACTGTAAAAACAAACAAACAAACTTAAAAAACAGTTTTAAAATGCTTAACAACTTTTCCCTGCTTAGAGAACTTTTCAGGGAAGAGGGGAAAAGGCAGAACTGGTGACAGAGGGGTGGTGAAATGCAGAGGACTTACAAAGGAGCCAGTGAATATGGAAAAGGAAGCAAACATAACAAAAACAGACACCTAGGATATTACAAGGATTCATGCAGTGATTTATCCCACTTCCTGGTCTCCAAGCACTCTGTAACCAAATCAGCCTCCATCTAAAGTTGCTCTTTCCAAATGGTAGTCACTAGCCACGTGTGTCTATTCAGCATCAGCACCTGATATGTGGCTATTGAGAGTCCATGTGTGCTATAAATGTAAAATATAGACAGATTTTAAAAACCTAGCTTAAAAAGAATGTAGAATAACTCACTAATAATTTTTGGAATAATATTTTGGATATACTGGTTAAAATATATTGTTAAAATTAATATTGCCTGATTTGTTTTAGCCTTTTAAAAAATTTTATAGTGTAGGTAATAGAAAATTTAACGTTACATACATAGCTTGTGTTATACTTGTATTTGGCAGCACTGTTTTAGAGTTTTTAAAAGTTATTTAAACCTGCTTACTTCACAGATATTTTTATAGTTGAGAAGAATCGTATGTAGTAGTCGGTCCCAGATGTAGCAAACTTCTCATTGGTCCATTGACCATCTTAGTATTTCTTTACTGACTCACACACTTGAACTATACTGAAATTTATTCCCATTCCCATCATTACACACCTGAGGAAAGTCATTGAAGAAAGGGGCTGCTGCTAGTTCACCAGTTCTCCTAATACACGCTGTTGAAAAGACAGGAAAGATAAAACTGGGCTAGGAAAATATGAACTCAGAAAAAACTAAGAAGAACCAAACAAAGGGAAAACATTTGTGCCGGGAGTTTCAATTTAAACAGAAACGCACTCACTTCCACGTTGCACTCTGCTTTTTATTTTTCACTATAGTTACAATTTGTTTACTGAATCCCTTAAGAGTCCTCACAGAAGGCTTGAAAAATTTTTACACTTCAGTTTCTTTCTACGTCTGGATGTTTGAATCAGAGGAGCTCTAAAATACCCTGGAGTTTGAACTTGTATTGACTTCCTGTTTCAGGGCCTTTGAACTTACCATTACCCTGGCAGAAGACTCCATCTCTCCATTATCTGTGTGGTTGGCTCCTTCTTGCCATTTAGGTCTCAATGTAAAAGTTATTTCCTTAGAGAACGCTTCCCTGAACACTGTTTCTCATCCTCCTGTCCCTTTCTATCACATCACTCTATTTTATTTTCTCCATTGCTCTTACATCAAGCTGATTTTTCCTTGTTTATATTCTTGTTTATTTATTTATTTATTCATTTGCCCTACAAAAATACAGTCTTTATAAGAGAAAATACGTTGTCTGTCTTAATCATTGCTCTTTCTTTCCCATCCAAAAGAGTGTCTGGTATATAGTAGGTACTCAAAAAATTATTAGGGAAATGAGTAAATGAATCAGACCTGGTTCTTAGATAGAAACAACCAACAATGACTGGCTAATTAAACAGAAACTGAACGTATTACGTAACACAATTGCCAATGAAGTCTGGAGAGCCAGATTTGAGAAATGGGGAGAATGAACGGAAGCCATGCAGCCAGAACTCCTACAGCCAAAATTACGCTGTGGATCCTGCCCAATGAGGAGACCTCTGCCCCCGGCACCCACATTCCATGCTCTAGCTCTCCACCATGGGCTGACACCAATGGATTCAGATATTGGTTGCCCCTGAAGTCACCATTTCCGCTGTTGTGCTTAGAAACTGTGTACTGTTGTCACTTTAACCATCATCAAAAAAAAATCTGCATTGACCCCACTTCTCTGTGTCACAAACTCCATCTCAAAAATTCAGAGTATGTGCCTCAGGTTGTTCAAATCTAGGTCACAGGGGTCATGCCTACCTACTAAGAAAAACAGTGATGAGAATGTGGCTTTGGTTTTGATTTTATTTTTCTTCTACATAAGGAAAGGGGCTCTGCCTCTCATTAATATTTATAAGGCACCATCTTCACCAAACATAGGCAAGGGGTTCAGATACCGGAAAGATTCTCCAAATGACAAATATTCCCTATAATCTTCCATGTGCTTGTGGATGCATTTATTTTTTTTCTTTGATCAGATATATTCTCTACTGTTGTATGTCACATTGTTAGGTTTCTTAGACTGCAGTGAATTTCCCAATGACAGGCAGCATGCTGTATTCATGAGTTCTCCGGAGAAACAGAACCAATAAGATTTCTCCAATTTCTCTGGGGAACACTGATTAACACGGCATGCTATGTATCATATGAAATTCCTAAGCCATTTCCTTATAATAACAAATCTCTTATACATATATAACATATAAAATTATCCTTCATATAATATTAATATATAACACATCTTATATCTTTATGTATCTTATTTATACATGTATATGTATACATATATCTTATTTATACATACATAAATAAGATGTATATAAAGAGATTTATATACAATAAAATTATGGAAGCTAGGAAGTTCCAAGAACAGCAGTTGGCAAGCTGGAGGCCCAGGACTGCTGATGGTATAGTTGCAGTCTGAATCCAAGGCTTGAGAACCAGAGGAACTGAAGATCTAAGGTTTAGTCTGAAATCTGAAAGGCTCCACAACCAAGAAGAGCTGTTGTTTCAGTTCTAGTCTGAAAGAAGCAAAAGACTGATGTTCCAGCTCCAGGTCTTCAGGAACAAGGAAATCCCTCTTACTGGCTGGAGGGTCAGCCTTTTGTTTTACACAGGCCTTCAACTAATTAGATGAGAGCCACTCACACTGGTGCGTAAAGCAGTCTGCTTTACTTAGTCTACTGATTCAAATGTTAATCTTATCTAAAAACACCTTCGTGGATACCCAGAATAATGTATAGTCAAATATCTGGGCACACACTGTGACCTAGTCAAGTTGACACATAGAATTAACCATCACACATACCCTTCTGGGGACAAAAAACAATCCAGTTAGCTCTCAAAGCCTGAAGCTTTGCCATGGTCACTCTTTAGCCCACTGTCTGACTAGACACCTATTATTTTGTTCTTGGTTCCTTAAGGCAGGGGTCCTCAAATCCTGGGGCGTGGACCCCATATCAGTCCATGACCTGTTAGGAACCGGGCCACACAGCAGGAGGTGAGCAGCAGGTGAGTGAGCATCATCGCCTGAGCTCCTCCTCCTGTCAGATCAGCAGCAGCATTAGATTCTCACAGGAACACGAACTCTACTGTCAACTATGCATGTGAGGGATCTAGGCTGCACACCCCTTTTGAGAATCTAATTAATGACTGATGATCTGAGATGAAACAGTTTCATCCTGAAACCATCCCCCCACCCAACCCTGTCCCATGGAAAAACTATCTTCCATGAAACCAGTCCCTGGTGCCAAAAAGGTTGGGGACCATTGCCTTAAGGGGGTTACTCTTCCCTTTGTGATCCCTGGGTGAATATTTTACCTTAAAGATGCACAAAATGAACTAGAGGGATATGAAGTTCAGGAATGGGTGAGTGGCGGAAGGTAAGCCATGAAGAGCTGCAATAATTACACATTCAAGGGCTATCATTTAGGTTGATATATCAACTGCTGCCAATAGAAGGCACAGAAGCCACATGCTCACTTGCAAATTGAAATGTGAGGTGAGTCTAAGTAAGTGACACATTCTGCCTTCGAGGAGGAAAAGGACATCTGATTCATAGCAAGCCCTGCCAAAGTACAGCTGGTTGAGCCAAATGGCTCACTGCCATTTAACCCTGGGAAACAAGGAAAGGCAGGAGCAGGTTAGGTAAAGGGATAAAAGGTTTATTATAAAAAGGAACTTGATAACTGCTGTGATTTTAATTATATTTCCACTGCCAGAATCCCATCAATATTGAAAAGCAGCAAAGAAAACAATTTCCTGAGATGTTCCTTGTTTTTAGGATGGTTAAAATTTGCCCTCAGAAAATAGTCAAAGGAGGTCAGAAAAAACCTTGAGTATAAAAGAAATGAACATAAACAGAAAAGCAAATGGACCCTCTAAACCACAGCAAGTCAAAGTCCAACTCGAGGGCCTCTAGGTAAGAGGTTTTCTTGTTTCATGAAGTGCCCTCGAGACGCAGCAGCCAAGGTTTAGTGAACCTGTAAAAGGTTAAAAATTCCACATGTACATGTATGATTTATAGGTCATAGGCTATAAAAGGAAAAACTATAATCTTTGACATTTAAAAAGGGTGCTTAGAAAGCATTTGTAACTACATAGAAGGTTAATCATGATGGCCCCAAAGGTCTTGTCTACATCTAGGATCTGAATTTTAGAATTCTGAATCTCTGATTAAATTCTTTTAAAAACTTACACATCAGAGCCCAGACTACAATGTAGGAAGTGAAGCACTCACCCAGAGCACAAAATTTTAGAGGGCACCAAAAAAAAAAAAAAAAAATACTCAGTAATCAAGATACATGATATTTAAATATTTAAAAAAAATCAAAACAGCAACTCCGATTCATGGGCTGGCTGCCTGCTTTCGTAAAATAAGCTTTATTGAAACTAGGCGAATGAGGCAGAGTCAGATCCTGCCTGTAATTAAAATATTGATATTTTCTTTTCATGGACTTATTTTGTAGTGATTTTTAAAATATTGCATTAAAATATTATTTATCTTGAATATTGAGTCTTTGGCACCCCCTTAAATTTTCCACCCAAGGTGTTTCACTCAGTTCACCCCAGTACCCGCCCTACTACATACCCTCTGGAATCAAACTACTTCTAACAGTTCAAAATGTTATTGTTAGCCACACTTGTGAAAATACTATAATTTGCAAAAAGAATTATACAGATTATCGATTTCACTCTGACAACATCTCCACGTGAATGTTACTTTCCCGTTTTTCAGCTGAGCATCCTGGAGCTCCTTGGTGAAGGTAACTCAGAAAAGCCAGACTGTGGTCAAGCCTGGATTCAACTCCCTGTGGTTAGACTCAGTGGTCCACAGCGCTAACCATCACTGAAAGATCTAACGAGTTTCTTCTAAGGAAAACTGCTTTTCATTGTCCAGGGCAACATGTTTTAATACTCTTGAAGGAACTTCTTTTAGTTTTACTTACTTGGGTACTAAATTAATAGAAATGATCCAATACAACTTGTATCCCTTTCTCTCTCTTTTTTTTTTTCAGTGACAGTTTTTTACTCTGTTGCCCAAGCTGGAATGTAGTTATGCGATCACCGTAACCTCAAATGCCTGGTCTCAAGTAATCCTCCTGCCTCAGTCTCCTGAGTGGCTACAACTACAGGCACATGTCACCACGCCCAGTTAATTACACCTTTTCTTTTCTTTTCTTTTTTGATAGAGATACGGTCTCACTATGAAACCCAGGCTGATCTCAAACTCCTGGCCTCAAGCGATCCACCCACTTCAGTCTACTAAAGTGCGGAGATTACAGGCATTAGCCATGGCAGCTAGGCCCCTCCTTGAAGAATCAAACACTGATAAATATTATCAAATACCTTTATTTTTACAGTGTAGATAAAAGTGTTATGTACATAATATAATCTAGCATTTTATGCCATTAAAATTCAAATTCTTTAACATATAATTTCATATGACCTGGTCACCTGGAATTATCCTACTTTGAGCAACACAGAGTAACTTGGTAGAATAGACAGGAAATCTTTCTAGGGCAGAAATGTTTCTCCCCACTATTGCCTCCCTACTGACAGGGTCATCTAGCTTTAGATTCAACCACGATATTGTCAATCAGTCACAGCATTACTTAGCAGGATATGGTCAATACCTTCACTCACATCTCAAAACCCTTCTCCCTAATGTGCCAGAATATAGCACCACTGCTGGCGTTATCATGCCTCAGAGATCTCTTCCAACGCTGAAAAATTACTTCTACTCAGCCATTCAATTCTCCCACTTTTTCTGCTTATTTGATCAATTTTATCTTATTTTAATTATATCTCAATTACAGTTTCTCAGTTACTCTCCTCCTGCCCATAACTTCTTTAAAGCAAAATGAGCCAATCCAGAGTTCCTACTAAAGAGACAGCTCTCTTTGCATAAGGAACCCCAGCCCCAGCTTTACCTCTGGGTTTGATTCTCTGAACCAGGGCAGGCATAAGAACTAAGGACAGACAACATAGGTTAAGCAGTGATCTATAAGTAGTGTGGCTCAAACTAATAAAACAATAATTAGATTTTCCATCCTTCAGAAACCTGATCTAAGAAATAACCTAGACAATGAGGTGCTGCACACTGAGAAATAAGTGTAACAGGTTACTATGTGGAGAGAGGTGGTGGCAACCTTAAAGTCCCATATGCAAGGAAGGTTATGCAGAGACTTGCAAAGAGTGGGAGAGATATCTCAGTGAGAAGCCATGTAGCCTGTGAGAAACCCAAAAGAGGAATTAGTCTCTGGACTCCCCTTTGCTCTTGACTACTCTCTCAGTCTAGCTCCAAACTGCATGCATATTTAAAATACAGACCACATCCCTAGATAGAATAGTTACTCCTCAGAATTTGGAGCATTATAAAGCAAGTTTCCCAAATGTGTCATACTAATATTGACAAGCTAAAATTATAAAAGTGAGGATGAATTTCAAAAGGAAGGAACAATTTTTAAAGAGAAAAAAAATTTAAGAATCCATGGTATATATATCAAAAAAGTGTGGAAAATCACTGTTGGGAGAGTTGCTTGAATAGTGATTAAGAGAGGGGTCCTGGAAGAAGACCTTCTGGGTTTGAGCCCTTGATTGATACCCCAGTTATTTCACTCAGGCAATTGACTCCATATCTCTATGCCTCCAGTTTTTCACCTACCTCACACAGTATTGTTGTGAGGATCAAGTTAATTGATACAAGTAAAGCATGAGAAATAAATCCTTACTGAATATTTGCAATGTGTAGAAAGTGCTAGTGACTCTTTGGTCTAAGGTGGAGTGAGATTCAGCATTTCCCTATCTACTTTGTGGGCTTAAAACAGCTGCAAATTCTTTGTCACTCTCTCCATTGGGAGTTGGAGTTTATTCCCCTCCTGCCTCTTAAAATCCAGGTTTTTCCTGTTGCTTGCTAATCAACAGGACATGGAAAGGGTAATGCTGCATCAGATCTAGTCCTGACTTTTAAAAGGATAGGCATTTCTGATTCTTCCCTCTTAAAACACTTGCTCTTGCGGCACTCTTTCTTGGAACCCAGTTGCCACGCTGTGCAAAATCCACATCACAACTAGAGGCCATGTCTAGGTTCTACTGTCAGATCCCTCAGCTGAGCTCCCAGCTCACAGGCAGAGTTCATGATCAGCCACATGGTGGTGATTTATGTTGGCTGTTCAAACCCCTATATGACAGTCTTTAATCATCAACTCACCCTAGCTAGGTCTAACCAGCCCACAGACTGTGAAAGATAATAAAGTGATTGTTTTTAGAAGCCGGTAAGTTTTGGAGTGGTTTGTTAGGAAGTAATAAATAATCAGAAGACCTGCTCTCAGCCCCTGTGATTTCTCTATACATATGGTCCAGGGCTGATGGCCTTCTCCTGGGCCCCTCAGAGGTCAAGAGAAGTGGAAGCTACTCCTGTACTTGAATTTCTTCATATATTAATTTATGAAGAAATGCCAAGATGGGATGTCAAAATGTTTACTTCTAACTAACATTTAAAACGTAATGCTTTTTACCATATATACCCCCAAATAGTACAGTGTGATTGTGTGACTCTCAAGATCATTTCAAGATGAAATAGTAATTCACAGTGTACTATCTAGTATTTTTCAACAATAAGACAAAAGTCATATGACTAATGTCTTCTTCCTTTAGTTCTGCTGCTATACCTACGTGATAGTAGCACTGCTCTCCTTTGGAAGATGACAGAAGTCAAAACGTGAAATTCTTTGGGATTATGAGTCCTGAGCCAATGCCACCTGCCTCACCCCACAACTAATTTCATCTTTTTGCCATGGTGTTAATGATCATCACATTCATATTTCTGTAGATAAGGCACTGATCTTGGTCTCCTTTGCTTCTTATTAATTATATTAAAATACCACCTTTGTTTGGTCACCTTGACTTTTAATGTAGATGAAAATTCATCATGTAGCTGCCCGGCCGCCACCCCGTCTGGGAAGTGAGGAGCGTCTCTGCCTGGCCGCCCATCGTCTGGGAGTTGAGGAGTCCCTCTGCCTGGCTGCCCAGTCTGGAAAGTGAGGAACATCTCTGCCCGGCCGCCATCCCATCTAGGAAGTGAGGAGCGCCTCTTCCCGGCCGCCATCCCATCTGGGAAGTGAGGAGCGTCTCTGCCCAGCAGCCCATCGTCTGAGATGTGGGGAGCATCTCTGCCCCGCCGCCCTGTCTGGGATGTGAGGAGCGCCTCTGCCCGGCCCCGCGACCCCGTCTGGGAGGTGAGGAGCGTCTCTGCCCGGCCGCCCCGTCTGAGAAGTGAGGAGACCCTCCGCCCGGCAACCGCCCCGTCTGAGAAGTGAGGAGCCCCTCCGCCCGGCAGCCGCCCCGCCTGAGAAGTGAGGAGCCCCTCCGCCCGGCAACCACCCCGTCTGGGAAGTGAGGAGTGTCTCTGCCCGGCAGCTACCCTGTCCGGGAGGGAGGTGGGGGGTCAGCCCTCAGCCCGGCCAGCCGCCCCGTCCGGGAGGGAGGTGGGGGTGGTCAGCCCCCCACCCGGCCAGCCGCCCCGTCTGGGAGGGAGGTGGGGGGGTCAGCCCCCAGCCCGGCCAGCCGCCCTGTCTGGGAGGGAGGTGGGGGGTCAGCCCCCCGCCCGGCCAGCCGCCCCGTCCGGGAGGGAGGTGGGGGTGGTCAGCCCCCCGCCCGGCCAGCCGCCCCGTCCGGGAGGTGAGGGGCGCCTCTGCCCGGCCGCCCCTACTGGGAAGTGAGGAGCCCCTCTGCCCAGCCACCACCCCGTCTGGGAGGTGTACCCAACAGCTCATTGAGAACGCGCCATGATGACAATGGCGGTTTTGTGGAATAGAAAGGGGGGAAAGGTGGGGAAAAGATTGAGAAATCGGATGGTTGCCGTGTCTGTGTAGAAAGAAGTAGACATGGGAGACTTTTCATTTTGTTCTGTACTAAGAAAAATTCTTCTGCCATGGGATCCTGTGGATCTGTGACCTTACCCCCAACCCGGTGCTCTCTGAAACATGTGCTGTGTCCACTCAGGGTTAAATGGATTAAGGGCGGTGCAAGATGTGCTTTGTTAAACAGATGCTTGAAGGCAGCATGCTCCTTAAGAGTCATCACCACTCCCTAATCTCATGTACCCAGGGACACAAACACTGCGGAAGGCCGCAGGGTCCTCTGCCTAGGAAAACCAGAGACCTTTGTTCACTTGTTTATCTGCTGACCCTCCCTCCATTATTGTCCTATGACCCTGCCAAATCCCCCTCTGCGAGAAACACCCAAGAATGATCAATTAAAAAAAAAAAAAATTCATCATGTAAAAATTCTGTTCATAGAACCCAAGAATTTATTTAACTGTTGGTCAGACTTAGAAGAGCAGAGGTAGAACATACTTCCTCTGATTTCTGTGGGATTTTTGCTTATTTACAATATTTCTTACATTTTATTCAAACATTTATCAGAAGTTCATATAATCGGTTTGAGGAATAAGCAGAACCAGTCATAACTTTCATGGGCAAGGAAAAATATCCATTGGAGAAAATAAGAGCATTTATTTTTATCCAGATAGAGTTCACAGTGATTCAGAACATTCTATAGTGGTTGTTGAAAACACCACCTCGTATAAAATAAATTATCCCACTATGGCAAAAAAGCAGTCAATGCTCATGTCAACAAGAGAACAAAATATTCAGGGAAATTAAACAGTTTTGCAAATAGCAACTGATGAGTTTCTATTATCCCCTATTTCTTTTTGGCAGGAAAACAACGGAACAAAGTTGGCCCTATTGGCTCTGATGAGCCCTAATCCTTTCTCTGCCTAGAGCATTCCACCTAACTCAGAAGGTGGTAAAATCCTCCCTACCACCAGATGAAAAATGATAATGTACTTTAGTGATAATATGTGTAAGCCTCAAAAGGCAAAGCCAAAGTGTGAATATTCTCTCCTAAAAGAATAGAACCATAAATCTTCCTCAACAAATACATTGACTAGCACAGGTGCAAGCAGGAACTTAAACATAGAGAGAAACCTAAAGAAAGATTCCACCAGTACTCTTCCACCAACCAGATTAGCAAACTTTGCCTCTAGCACACCTCTAAGGAAATCAATTTCAATGGTACCCTAAATCCAAAGTTACACAATATGTGAATTCTTTTGTTGTTTTAAACAAATTTTTAAAACTCACTCACTCTGCAGGAGGTAAGTTTTATAATCATTCATTCTAGTAATTAACTAAGAAGGCAGCAATGTGTTCTGGAAGCAGAAAAAAGAGTTCTGTTTCGGACTCTACCCTTAGAGAGCAAGGATGAAGAAACTAGGTTCTAGAATAAGCCAAATTTGCACTCCTCCACAAGTTCTACAATCTTGGACAGCCTCTCCCCCTCTCAGTGCTACAATTTCTGCCTCTGAGAAATGAGGATAACACCATAATCCACCTCAAATGATGTTTACGAAGACTAAATCAAAACCAATTATCTTTGCGCAGGGTTTTTCAACCATAGGATTATATAATAGATGTTTTGGACTGGATAATTTTTTGTTGTGGAGTGATTTCCTGTGCATTGTTGGATGTTTAGCACCATCCATGGCCTCTACCCTGTAGGTAACAGTAATGACAATGAAAATGTCTCTAGATATTGCCAAATGTTCCCTCGAGGCAAAATTATACGTGGTAATAATCAATGCTTACTGCCTAGCAAATGGCAACTCCTGAATAAATGTGAGTCCCTCTACTAGAGTACTTCAGTTGGTGTTACCTGTTGTTATAAGGAAGAAGCCTTAACCTCACCTTAAGAAAGTAAATACCACCATGGACTTTAGGTATACTAATGTAATAATAAAGGAAAAAGAAAATTGTTGATAGACTAAGTATTATGCAGTGTTGCAATGATATTTATAGGTACACATGAACTCGTGTTATCTTCAAAGCTATCCTAGGGAGTCAAGACTAAGTTTTCTCCAAAATTCTTTCCCATGAACATATTGCTTAATGATAATTTTATAACCTGAAGTTGAATTGTATGTAAACATATTGATTGTCACCTTGAAACAAGTTTCAAAGTGCCTATGAATATACGCATGTCATGAATGTGTATATCAATGTATTTAGCAGCCTGCAGTTTCCAGGAATATGAACCTGTCTGTAAAGTTGAAGCCAACTTTATGGGCCATAAATGGACACTGCCAAGAGCCTCACCCAGTGATTCCAGTTAGTCATTTCAGATATAAAGCCATGGTATGTGGCTTGGTGGAATTCCCACAGAGTTTTGCACTTTGGATGTGTTCCACATGATTCTGCCTTAAATGCTGTACTATCAACTGAAGTGTGTATGGAGTTTTGAAACATTTTAATTCAGCTTATTCAACTGAATGCCTCGACCACAAACATTCCTGCTTACCAAGCACATTGGCTCTAGCTAGAATCAAGCAATTAGGGAGGGATGACATTCTGCCAGATTTTGCATATGGCCAGTGGACTGAAATTCATTTGGGTCCATAAACATACTTTTCCACAGATGGGAATTTCAAGAATTTGAAAGAGTCAAAGCAACCTTCTGGGAGCCCTCCATCTCCCTATCTAAGATGGAATACAGCTGTCCGATTGGGCTGCTGGCAGAAAAGTCACTGAAAGTGACATTTCTTAGTTCCAAGATGTTCTTGTTCCCTTATCATTTTATGTATTACTCAATAATCCATCTGTATATGGGAAGTAATTTGTGAGCTAATCCAGCATTATTATTTCTCTATATATGGAAAATAACTTATAAGCTAATCTAGTATTATTATCTCAATTTTTAAAAAGAAGTTACTGAGAATAAGGGAGCTTAACTAAGTTGGCCAAGGACTTGATGGGACACCCACCAAGTAGAAGGGTGAAAGTGCAAACCTAGAGCTGTCTGCCTGCCCCAGGATGCCCCCTAGTGGCTGACAGGCAATACCAAGGAAACTGTACAGCTGTGGCGGCATGTTAGGGGTGATCAATAGAGATGAAATTTAGTTAAGTAATTCTAGTACTGTGAGGAGTGTAAAAGAATGATCGGTGTTTGAATATTATTTTTAGGTTTTCTATCTGTGGGGTTCTTTTCCTAACCAGGACTGACCGCTTTTATTCTGTGGCATGGGGCACCAGGATAAGGAATAAAAAAGTTATTTCTCTAAGAGTAATGTCTTTGCATAAGATTAAAAGGCCACTTGCATAACGGAAGCAAAGCTGTAAAAGTTATGAAAATTGGTCATAAGAAAGAGGAAAAACAAGATATCTTTTAAAAAGATTTGTACTCGTTTCTTAAGGAATGTTTAATCAGAACTCTTGTTTCCAAACTACATCAGAGGCAACTTTTCCTACAAAAATCCTGTAATTGGCTATCACAAGTTATACGCCTGGTCAGTACAATTATATTGCATCCCTGAAGCATTACCTAGATAGACAGATTTAAGAAGAAACCTATTTTTGTATTAATACAATAGCAACTTGGAATCAATTACCATGTTTCAAAGGACCCTCATTAGATCTGCTGTCAGTTGCACAGAATTCATAATTTGTCTTTATTGCAAATGTATTTCTGTTATTTTCCACTAGCAACCAAAAAACTAGAACGCTGGTGAGAAAAAAACTTCCTTTTAACCAGACCACCTTGCTGGTTGGTATTCCTTATTACAGTACAGAGTCAACTACATTATTTTCACAGTGTACTTACTTTGACATGAGTTTACTGACAACTTTCCTAGACAATTTGTTTTTATAAAATATGTTATAGAATTATAAAGTTACCAAAACAATCTAGAGGCATCGTTGAGTGTTAGGAGAATTTAATTGGAAAGACAGAATTTTTTTTTCCTCACATGACATTGAACATTTCAAAAACACTGTTGCCCTTTTACTGAAAAGCTAATATTTCCCTCCAGATTTCTGATTCTCATATTCATAGGGCCTTTGGTAAGCTAAACTTTAACTTGAGGCTCAAGACTATATAAATATTTATCATGGACAGAAAATTTAAAAAGAAATCTTAGTGATTTTAGGCATCAAAAGAGATTTGTGTGGTGTAATAAAAGAGTCCTGGACTTAAATTCAGGGGGTTTGCATCTGATCTTTGATCTGTCACTATTTGAGCTAGTCTCACTGGACTCGGTTTCTTTACCTCAGAAGTAAGAGAGTCAGATCAGATGTCTTCACATATGCCCCCAAACTGTGGCAATATGTGATGGCTATAGGGAACACTTTAAAATAAAAGGGGGAATATACATTACTAATGAAAAGAAAGTGTCCCAATTCAAAACACCAACTCATAGTAACGGTCTTATATATGGCTTGAAACAAAAATGTATTTTAGGGTTTGATAAAAGTAAGTTTCAAAAATATACCACATCATTTCTTCAACTCTTAAATTAGAACATTAAATGTTAAACACTTTAAGAAATAAATGAAAAAACAAAAATATCATTGTCAGTCAACCCACTAACTTCAAAGCTGACATTCTTAATTTAGATAGTAAAAAACTGGATTTAATTTTAAAAATGACTTCATACCATATGCCCAACATTAAATGTTTATTATTAATAATAAAATATATCAGTAGCAGCAGTCACTTTTAGAAAACCAGTGCAACTTAGATAAGTCCAAATAGAATGAAATATATTAGAACATAATGGAGGAGAAGGGAAATGACTCCATGTGTAGAAATGAAAATACAACTTAATATGTTTAAAAGAAATAACAACTAAAGGGAGTTAGCAAACTACATGAAATAATTTTGTGTCCTGCTATGTGGCACTTAACCAGCCAGAAAGCTAAAAGCTGGCCTTTCGAATATTTGTCATATGAATGTTTCAATATCAATTCAGGTACCAAGCCTTCCTAAGTGAAACAGGCAGAAAACAGCAAGGGTTCATCATTGGGTTGGCAATAAACAGGTAGTAACTATTCCTGCTGGGAGAATTCATCTCTAAAAAGAGGTGTGATGGACTGCAAGGACTTTATAGCCAAAGAAAAATGACTGGCTACATAATTTGTAGTGCCCAGTGGAAAATGAAAATGCAGGGCCCCTTCTTTAAATATATATATTAAGTTTATTTAAATTTCATATATTTATATATAATATTTACATATTTAAACTTATTTTTATTTATATGTATATATATAAAATATATAACATTTCAAGAGGACCACTGCAGAACATTAAACCAAGTGCAGACCCCCTTGACCACGGGCCCTGTGGAACTACACAGTTCCCACATTTATGGGGCTGCTTGTCCTGTAGACAGTTCATTTCTTGTTCAGCCACTTATTAGTTCTGTATGGGACCTTGTGCCAGATGATTGGCTGCTCTCACCTTCAGTTCTTCATTCGTAAAATAATTAAAACTATATAAGTACCTCCATAGGCCTGTTGTAAAAGTCACATTGACCAATATGTATTATTTTTTAAATATACTAGTATCAATAGCTTGGTGGGTGAGGACACTCCTCTTTATGATTACAATTTATAAAATTCTATTTGTAAATCCCAACAGTTTTTTCTTTTCTTATGAGGTCTTAAGAAAGAGGTGAATTGATAAGCAATGAACATGAATATTCCAAAGCAGGTAACCATTTTTATCTCCAACACAAAGACTTTGTGGTTCTTACTGATTTCCCTTAAATGATTTATTATAAGAATACAAGAGTGCTGTGATGATTAATTTTATGTGTCAACTTGACTGGGCCATGGGATGCCTAGACAATTGATCAAACATTTTTTGGGTGTGTCTCTGAGGGTGTTTCTGGATAAGATTAACATTGGAATTGGTAGGCTGAGTAGAGCAGATTTCTCTCTTGAATGTGGGTGGACTTGATCCAATCAATTAAATACCTGAACGGCACAAAAAGGCCGAGTAAGAGGAAATTCCTCCTGCTTGACTGCTTAAGCTGGGACATTAGTCTTTTCCAGCCTTTGTACTTGGAATGAAGCATGCACTGTTCTTGGGCCTCTAGCTCATTGGTTTCTGGACTAGAACTTAGATCATCAGCTCTCCTACTTCTCAGGCCTTTGGACTCAGACTCAATTACACCATCACTAGTCCTGGGTCTCCAGTTTGCCAACTGCAGATCTTAGGAATTTTCAGCTTCCATAATTGTGTGAGCCAATTCCTTAACGTTTCTTTAAAGAACCCTGAGTAATACATGACTGCTATAGAAACAGTCACACTCATATTAATGCAAGTCCCTGATTTTCCTAGAACAAAAATATTGTAGACAATATTTTATTGCTCTCAGTTCACCATGGGATCTGAAAGACTGAAACATCTGAATAATGGAACAAGAGGAAACATTCTCTTGGAAAAGGAGGTCTAATGTGTATGCAACTTACACCATATAATTTTCAAGAACACAAGGCATCTATACTGCTTTTTAGTAAATTTAACTTTTATTATCAGTAAGAATACATTTTTACACTCTAAACCAATGAGAAATTTAACTCATGATTCTTTCTACTCTTGAAGGTGAAGATTTTGGAGATTATTAAAGTTCAGTGCAACCTCTTTTGTATATATCCTCTTGATAGACACCTATTAGTAGAATAGAAGGGAGAAATGTGAGAGAGGAAAAAGAAAACTAGGAGATAATCCCTGTGGCTTCTTTTTGGCCTCTACTCCTTTTCAGTTCAAAGAAATATAGTAGAAGAAATAAAGAGACTTTCTGATTTTAAACCATCAGGTTACTATTTCAGAGTCTGGGTGGCTAAAAACCCCATGGGGGCACTGTGAATGGTCCCTGATTTAAGGACTGGTTTGTTTGGGGCCAATCCCATGAATGAGGGCTTCGATTCAGAAAACCAAGGCCAATGTAGGAGTCCATCACAGGGTCTGATTCTGAAGATGATGAGGGCTTAGAATGATAAGCATATTCACATGTGCCCTCTGTTAACCTGACCCAGGGAAAGGCTAAGAACACATTTGGTCCATCACAGGAATGGAATGGGCTACTGTGGGTAAACAGCATTCACTTAATGGATTGGGTTAAAAAATTGCTTGCATTTAAAAAATAGATAAATGAATTACTTATTTGATATATTGTCCTTAACGTATGCATTATCAACCATTATTTAGAGATCTCAGGTTCTGCTGTTTATTTTCACTTGTCTTTTTTGTTACAAAGATTGACTGTGTTAAATAGGAAGAAATACACTGTGTGAATGTTTTAATATCCAGTCATCTTTATATATGGGTGATGTTGACATCTGGAATATTTGTCAACCAGAGCACCATTACTTTTTTTCTGATAACACATAATGTATCGCATTACCCAACCAAAGCCGTTTCACAAGGCCTTAAGGCATGCACTTTAAGCACTCCTGTGTTTTTATTAGTAACTTCAATACATACTAATGAAAACATCCATTAGGACAACTTCATAAAAGATATTTTCCTACATCAACAACAAGGTTCGAGAGACAATCCTTTACTTGCAATACTTATTATAAAGAAGATTATGTTCTTGTTTCATTTGTTTGCTTTGTTTTGTTTTAGTTTTTACAAAAGGAAATAGTACAGAACTCATGAAAACAGAGTTATGTGCACTGTTTTAATTTACTATTTTATCATCTTCAGTATCACTCAACAGCTATTTCATGTGTAGTTGGTATCATTATAAGAGCTACGGGGAATTCCATGGAAATATGAGTTATGACCATTGCCCTCAAAGAAAGTCTAAATAGGGAAGTGGGAACAGCAATGAGGCTGCTGCTGAGAGTGGAAGCTGGGTAGGAAAAGAAATAATGTCAGGAAGAGTCTAATAATAGAGAGGAGAGGACCAGGGGAAGAATGGAGGGATTCACGATAAAAATAGCTGGGTGACAGGGAGCAAGTGGGTGGGTGAGGGTTTATTAGTAAAAATTGTAGAAGTGAAACAATTTTGATTAACAATCAAACTCAGAATGTGGCCCTATAAAAACATTTTACAAACAAGAAAACTGAGTTCCAAGAAGTTCACACAACTGCTGAGTGATGAAGCCACAATTGAAGAACAGGCTCCTTAAATCCGAATCTCCCACGCCACTCTGCCTGCCTGCATCCCTCAGCCTCTGCCATAAGCACTGAGGTCTCAGGCTCCTATGGGAGTGATTTATTTTAGTGTCCTTGGGGATAAATATAATTTTATAACATTTGTTTTTATGAAGGTAGAACTTGTACATGTAGCTGACCACACTAACATATATTTGGAATTTTAGAATAAGACTTAATTCTAAATTCAGATTGTTCTTTGAGTTGGGCTCTGGCTGCAATCTTAGCTCCCCCTCTGAAACAGAGTTTCTCATTCCCATCTCTGGTCTTTGAAGAAGGATGATAAAACGAAAAAGAATTTTTTTTTTCAAAGAGAATTCATTTAACAGTTATATTGATGTCTTGATCAAACAGAATTAAATCTTTCAGGTGGTGCTTTATTTCTTCTTTTTGTTAATGTACCTCATTTACAAGCCATTGCTCTCTTACCCTTTACTGCTCTTTGCTTAATCAACATAGGATGATGATTACAATAAGACAGCAGAATAAACATAAAGAAGTACAAGCAACCTTTCAGGAAAGCTGCATAATTGAAGACAATTCACAGAATTACGCTCTCATTCATTAAAAAGAGTTGATAATCAAAGACAGATTCATCAGCACAGAGAAAGCAGAAGGGCTGTTTCACGTAGAGGCAAGCTGAATAACATGTGAGGTCCAAAAATCAAAGGATTAGTCTCAGAGGAAGAAGAAATACTGGAATAGGCCAGTAGTTTCCCTCATGGTTACATGAGGAGCTTTGATATGGGACAGGTCAGTCAAGAGATGGGTTTAGAGTGGTTACAACCAGGTATTCTAGAGCTTCCTGGTTCCCAGCATTCAAATCTCAGCTCCACAGGATGTGCTACATGTACTTGGGCAAGGTACTTAAACTCCGTGTGCCTCTGTTTTCTCAACTGCAAAGTGGTAATTATACTAATAGCCCCTACCTCATAGGCTTGCTGTAAAAATTAAATATGCGAATTTCTATTGCTATATAAAGGGCTTAGAGTACTGCCTGACACAGTAAAGTACAATATAAGTGTTTGCTGCCTTCTAATTGTCCTCTTCCCTCATCTTTTTTTCCTTTGTTTTCCCTCCTTCTCTTTCTTCTACTCCTCCTCATTCTACTTGCCTGATCTTGGACAAGTTGATGAACCTCTTGGCTTCCACACCTGTAAACTCAGGATAATAAGACAGTAGCGATATTTGGTTGTCTATTGTCTATTCAGCACCGACTTCATTCTTCCTAACAAGACTTTGGTGTTGTTCAGGGATCTTCTCTATCCTCACACAACTGTGGGAAACAGGGGAAGTAAACCCAAATCACTAGCTCCAGGGGTAGATCTTATTGGTGAGCCAATCATTATAAGCCCATCTGCTTTGCTAGTGAATTGGTCAAGGAACATAGAACTAAGACAAGCAGCACAAGGCATTTCCCTAGAGAGGGTGTTTGGTCTAGGTGTGGGCATATGACACAAATTTACCTAAGCCTACTAAAGGGAAGGATTTATACTCTATGTTTGGATTCTCCTTTCTCCCACTGGATAAGAACAATGAATCATGGCACCCTAGACCCACTGGCAGCTAACTTTTGGTTAAACGGAAAAGCAAAGTTGACACATGGAGAAGGACACAGTTGGAAATGGAGCTGAGAAAATGGAGCCAGAGCTTTGTTCTCCTCTCACCAGCAGCCCACACTAACAATGGAGTTTTAAATGTGTAGTATAATTCATTTCCTTACTGTTCAAGGCACTTTAAATAGGCACTTTGACACTTTCTACCTAAAGCATCTTAACTGACACAAATATTAATACTTACCCCACAGCATTGTTTGAGGTTGTTTTTAAAATGAGATGCTTATAAAGAAGTATGCATCTTACAATACAGAGTACAGATCACATAATAAGTGTAAAGTTGACGATATGTTTACTCTGATAATGGTGCCCAAAGGACTTGACCCAAAGCAGCATTATTATCTTCCATTAATTTCAAGAGGTTAAAGACAGCCCTTAGAAATTCCAACCTTACTTAATCACAGATGGGACTCAATCATTGGATCTCTGCCTTCAACTATACCTCAGCATTCAGTAGAAGATTTCATAGATACTACTTTGAAAGAGAAAATTCTTTTTGTTGTTCTCATATCACCTTATCTAAACTTTAAGAATAGCCTCCATTCTAAGATGTTAATAAACAAATTCATCTTTTCCCTTTTCTATATTATTCATAACTCTTTAAATTTGAAATTTTTTTCTCAATTTTAAGTCCTTTCAGACTCAGTCCCATCTTTCTTAAGGTCATGCCAAACAAATAATGATGTTTGAAATCTAATTACCAATTCTGACATCAAAAAGCATGAAAAAAAACTGAAGAGAACATTCGGGGGAGAAAAAAACCAACAACAAAAATAAATGCTTGATTATATTTTAGGTAGTCTGTTTTTATCCCTGACCATATGCTTTATTTCTGAATGTCTCTTTTCCTTCCAGAAAGGGAGGTACTTTACGGCAATCCCAGAGCTTGTGACACAAGGTAATACAGCTCTCAGCAATCAACAATGTTGTATGATAGGACTTCCATGTAATGCAATTATAAACAATCAAGCTAAAACATTAGGCATCCTTCTTGTTTAGGGTGACTTATAAATATAAATCTGAGCTGGAGAAATGAAAGCAAGCACAAGCCAAATTGTCTTAACTTCCCCATGGTATACATGTAATGTTTTCTTTTTTCAGGTTTCTGTTTACATATTCTTAGTTCTTTTCCATTTTAATGACTAAGCAATGAGTAGCTTGATTTACTAAATCTAACTAGAAAAAATTTCATTGGCTCAAGGCCAAAGTTTTGAGTCAAGAAGAGAGAAACTTGAAACTATAGACTAGATGTCCAAGTTCTGTGACTCAATTCTGCACTGGGATCTAGTAAAACTCATTTAGCAACTAAGCTCTCCATGCCCAGTTGTGAATCACTCAATCACTGCACCAAGAGAAGCAGCTATGATGACTGGTTTTACCTCCATGTGAGGGGTACTGATTGAGTTTCATTTCTTCATTCATTCATTCATTCACTCACTCATTTACATCATTTCCTCATGCATTTATTCCATACTTTTTTCATTTCCTTTTTTTTTTTTTTTTTTTTTTTTTTTTTTTTTTTTTTTTTTTTAAGATGGAGGCTTGCTCTGTTGCCCAGGCTGGAGTGCAGTGGCATGATCTTGGCTCACTGAAACCTCCACCTCCTGGGTTCAACTGATTATTCTGCCTCAGCCTCCTGAGTAGCTGGGACTACAGGTGTGTGCCACCATGTCCAGCTAATTTTTGTATTTTTAGTAGAGATGGGGTTTCACCATGTTGGCCAGGCTGGTCTTTCTGAAAAAACACACATTTACCCGTCCAAATTCAAAGAATGGACTCAGAGGCACAGTGAAAGTGAGACTTCTAATAGCAGTCTTGCAAGATGGGTGTCTGGTAGGCAGGCACACCCAGGGCAGTTACAGCAGATAATTTATCTCCCAGCACACAAGTTCTTCTCCCAGTTCCTCATTGGTCGAGTACTATGGGGTTACAATCTTCCTGGACGTCGCCTAAGTTTCATTATTCCCCTTATAAGGTTATACCCTGGCCCCCTTCCCTGGTTAAGTTTCAATTTCCCAATAACAAAACTTTCTTCCCTTTTATGGGCTGACCCCTCCTCTACATTCTGTTCACTTATTGTGACCTTTTAGGTGCATGAGCTGTGCCATTTGTTACATCCACAAGCTGGCTGCCAGTACTTAGATTTATCATGCCTTGAAAATGGACCATTTAAAATGTTTTCCCAGTCTTGAACTCCTGACCTCAGGTGACCTGCCAGCCTCAGTCTCCCAAAGTGCTGGGATTACAGGTGTGAGCCACTGCACCAGGCCTATTTCATACTTTTTCAACAAACAACTTTTAATTACTATGTGAAAGGCACCTTTCTAATTAGGATGATAGAGAAATAAACAAAATAGAAACAAAAAAATCTCTTTTTTCATGGAGATTATGCTTAACGGGGAGGCAACGGTGTTCTGGCAAACCACCTCTCCAAAATAAAAGCCCTCATTGGTAGCATTTGCCAATTTCCATGGTGTAAATACTCCCACTATGGATAATCAGCTCGCAAAACTCCCAAATAGTTAGCAATTTTCTTTTGCAAACTAGAGTAAGCAGGCTCCCTATACCACTGGTGGGAGATTAGACAATAAATAAGTAAAATATGTAGTCTGTAAATAGAGGTCAATGCTTTGGAGGAAAATAAGGCAGGGAAAGGGAATATTTAAGTGTTTGGGGGTAGAGAGAGAGTGCAATTAGAAATAGCCTAGACATAGAGGGCTTCAACAGGGCTGATCACACCTCTTATGGTGGAGAAGAATGAGCCAGGAGTGAAAACAGCACAGTATCTCTTTGGTCTAAATAGCATATCAACCAAGAATATTAGTTTTAGTCTGTGTATAAGATGCCTCAGTCTACTTATTTTAGCCCAGTATGGTCTCACTTGTGCTTTTCCTCATAGCTATAGATTGTGCAAAAATGGATTAGAGATTCAACAGGTTGAAAATATTTACCTCATCCAGTCTGTTAGTAACACAGCCCTCTGCCTGCCAATGTGCACTGTCCAAAAGTTTTATTCCTTGTCTCAAAGGTTAGCCTGACAGCCTTACTCTCTCAACTCTTCAGTTAAATCTGTCGAGTGAACAGAAGGATGTAAAATTAATCTCAGAGCTAACACAAACAGGCAGACAACTTCTTGTGTAAAATGTGAAGTTTCAAAACTTGCTCTTCATGTGAATGTCATAAGAATAACCAAAATGTCCAGCTACAGAAAGTTGGATAAGCTCTACAGATGCAATGGAATTATTAAGAGGGAAGGGAATTTAAAACCATTATTTAAATATAATTGTAATTAATTGGAAAGATGTTCATTTTATTAAAGATAATGACCACAGCAACTAATATCTTTTGGATATTTTGCTTCTTATGCTCTTGTTTCCTCATCTATAAAAGGGACTAATAATGAAAATAACTTTACAGGTAACTGTGAGGTTTACATAATACATCTAAAAGTTAGTACATCAATTAACTACATGTAATAAATATAATGTACTAATAAATAGAATACATGTGATAAATGTTAGCTTTTCTCCTCCTCTTCATTATTGTTATTATTACCTTGTGCCAGACATCACAAGGTATGTGGTATCAATACTAACTGATACAAGGTATGTGGTATCAATAATAATTGACACAATCTATGTGTCAGTAATAATGTCCCCATTTAATAAATAAGGATATTAAACACAGGAAGTTTAGTAAGGTGCCTTATGTCACAGAATGAGTAAGAGGTGGGATAGAGAGTCAAAGCCAGATAGTCAAGCTCACCATGACTGTGCTATAAGATAAAAATATATTCAAGGTCAGCATAAACCCTACCAAATATTCTTAGGTCCATAAGGACAAAAACTGTGGCTTACATTTACTATTATATAGAAATTTCTCACCATTCTGCATTAATACACTGGGAAAACCATGGTTAACTCTATTTACTAAGTGCTTATTCATGTCTTAAATGTCTAATATGAATTCTTTCATATAATCCCCCCATGAGTGACATTAATGCTATCCCATTTTTTTTTCAGATGAGAAAATTGAGTCAGAGAATTTAAATAAATCACCCTGCATCACACAGGTCATAGCAGCAGTGCCAAGACTGAAACTCAGGTCTATTGGATTCCTCATCACTGTGATTTTTCTGCTTAATCTGCTTAGCTAGCAACCCCAAGAACAATATATAATGTTTTCATTAGGCCCCCTATTATGTGCATAGAGGTTAGAGGTTTTATGTAAATGTACAATAGTCTCCTCTTCTATTAATTACAATGTGTAAACAAGGAAAAATGCAGAGCTCAGTGGGAAGCTGAACACTAGCGCTCAAATGCCTGAAAGAACCAATTAGCTCAGGTCTACAGATCCCTTGTACTACTAAATGGTCGGCTAGTGCTATGGAAAACTGCACACTTCTACCATAAGATCAATCTCTCTGCCATTTCCAATCTGTGTTATGCATGAATCATGCATTTTAAGACTAGATAACATGGAGTAATGGCTTCAAAAACTCTCCCAGGCATAAAAATAGAAGCTTAGTGCTCCTGGTATGGATTCCCCACTGTCTCAAAGTAACCATTTTCAGTCTTTTCAGAAAGAGCACACAGACTTTTTGCAGCAGCATTTTAGGCATTCTACTATTCCTTGTAATTTTCTCAATTCATACTTCTTGCAGACTAGAGGAAAGGATGTCTTTGGCCCAAAGGCCAAGGCTAAAGCAAACAGAGCATCTCTCATAATGAGACATCCTGGAGCCTGGTAAGAAATGTACTGTGCCACTCAGTGCTCTGCAATGTCTAGTGACATAAGTGATCAATCAGCTAGCTTGGAGTTTCATTCGTGGTTAGGCCAGAGCCAGGAGTCTAACCCAGGTCTCTCAACCTTCAGAGGCCAGGAGCTCAGTCACTGTGCTGGTGAAATTCTCTGGAAGCCAGCAAGGTCATGTAAATGAGCAAAGGAGGCAAGGTGTAAGCAACAGGCAATGAAGCACAGGTGGCACTTGGGGAATGTGCGGTCCTTTCCAATACCTCTTCTAATGAAAGCAGTTGCTGCTCTGCTCCAGCTGACAGTTGCCATAAGCAAAATAGCCAGGTTTTGTTTTATCTTTCAATTTATTTTTTTAAAGAAAAACAACAAATCAGGATTTTAGGTGAAATTTCAAAATTGTTCAATATTAGCAACGAATTTAGAAAAAAAAAACACCATGTGGGATAAACACACATAACCAGATATGACCCATAGGTGCCCGCTTCATGGCTTGTATTCTACTATGTTGTCTTTTCAGCAGTGCTAGCAGAGCCCAGGCTACCACTAGCTGCTGCTAATGTTTCCAGCAAACTTTTAACCCTTCATGGTGAGTTCAACAAGTTCTGATCTAAAAATAACTTATGAACACATAATATGATAGTAATGGCCTTCATTTACTGAGCTCCTATCATGTATCAACTGAGACAAAGCCTCTAAGGTGGATATTCTTATTAACCTTATTTTACAGATAACAAAGCTGAGGAACTTGAGCAGGTGTATACTCTGCCCAAGGTCACACTGGTAGCAAGAAATAGAATTAGTTGTTTGTCCAAATATTCAGGTTTCAGATTACTCTGAACTACTACGTGAAATAAAATATCCAGTTATGCATACAGTTAGCATAGAGACTACTGAGAATAAGATTTCTGTTTATTGCCTGAAGGGATAAATACTGTGTTTTTTTTTTTAACTGCTAACAGGTTATAACATTAAGTGTATTCAGAAATAACACAATCTATGGACATTTGGTTTATCACCAATTGATGGTGATATTTCTGTTACCATTAAAAATGGACTGGCCAGGCGCAGTGGCTCACGACTGTACTCCCAGCAGTTTGGGAGTCCCAGGCAGACGGATCACCTGAGGTCAGGAGTTCAAAAACAGTCTGGCCAACATGGTGAAACCTTTTCTCCACTAAAAAAAATACAAAATTAGCTGAGCGTTGTGGCAGGTGCCTGTAATCCCAGCTACTCGGGAGGCTGAGGCAGGAGAATCACTTGAACGCAGGAGGTGGAGGTTGCAGTGAGCCGAGATCGCACCCTTGCACTCCAGCCTGGGCTACAAGAGCAAAACTCTCTCAAAAACAAACAAACAAAAAACAACAACAAAGAAAAACAAGAAAACAAACAAAACCCTAGTAAATGTGACTTGAAATAAATGGGCTTCATAAAATGTTAATGTCCTTTGGAAAAGTAACCCACCCTTGAGAATTTATTCTAAAACTAATTTAAAATACAAAAAAAGGTATTATCTCAGAAGTGTTAACAGCATCCAATTTTTTTCAATAGCAAACAAGATAAAAATAACCAAACTGCTCAGGAGAATAAGACCAAGTATTTTTGATATACCAATATGGTGAAAGATTTAATCATTAAAAATGAATCCCTAATAATTATTGGTAACAATATATTTCTCTAATGAAACACTGAGAAAAGAGAAAGAGACACAACTGTATTGTGATTGGAACTATGTATAAACTGTAAAAAATGTAAGCTAGAAGGAAAAACAAATTAAGCTTTGGGATGATTTCATGTTTAATTAATTGAATTATGAATAGTTTAGAAAAGAAAAGGGGTTTTCAACTGCTTTTATTGGTCCATTGTTGTAGTAGCATTTGCTGCAGCTGGATTTAACTCAACCCAAATTTGGATAAATACCCAAGGCATCACTCAGCTTAATCCAAGATTCTAGATTAACTTTTTACTGTCTCTGTTGAGCATAACCTCTTGTCGGTTTGCAAATTTTCTGCAACAATTTCTACAGAGTAGTGTTTTGCATACATGGAAGAGCTATCTGGGAATAAACTGTCATCTGTGAATAACTACCATGAATATTTATAAGTTACAATGTATAGTTTCAAAGCAAGCTTTCATGTGGTTCTTAAAGTAAATACACTCTCATTTTAATTACTTCACTCTTGTTATCCCTAAGATGTATACAAAGCTTTCTCCTTCACGTCCTTCAGGCCACTGATAAGAACTACCCTGATCACTTTATATAAAATAGTAACACCCCCCCACCACCAACACTCATATTATATATTTATATGTTTATCTTCTGCCTTTCTCCAGTAGATTGTAATCAGCATCAGGGTAGGATTTTGTCCTTGTTACTCAATGTTAAGTCCCTCACACCTTGAATAGTATATGGCACTTCACATACAACAGGCTGCGTATCCCTAATTTGAAAATCCCAAACCTGAAAATCTCCAAGTTCTGAAACTTTTTGAGTGCTGACATGACACTAAAAGGAAATGCTCACTGGAACATTTTGGATTTCAGATTTTCACATATGAGATGCTCAGCCAGTATGTCTTCTATGAATATTCCAAAATCCAAAAAAAAAAACCCCAAATCCAAAACACTCTGGTCCCAAGCATTTCAGATAAGGATGCTCATTCTGTCATAGCATCTAACAGTAATGCAGTACCTCCTCTATGCCAGCCACTATTCTAGCTGTTTTATTTATGTAAATTATGTAATATTCCTAATGACCCTATAAATAGGTACTATTATTATTTTCACTCACAGAAGAAGACTCCAATGCATATACAAGTTAAATAATCTTTCTAACTTACAGTAGCAGATAGACTCTAAGATGACCCCTGATTATCTCTACATCCTGATATGCATGCCTTATTTAATTCCCTCTCTTCCAATGTAAGTAGAATAGGTACATTGATTCTAACCAATAGAGTATGGCAAAAGGTAATGGAATGTTACATCAATGATTACGTTACCTAATATTGTAACTGCTGTCTTGCTGGCAGACTCTACTGACTCTCTCTCTCTCTCTCTCCTTCTGACTTTGATGAAGTAAACTGCCATATGGAGAGGCCCACATGGCAAGAAGCTGAGGGTAGACTCTAGCCTACAGCCATGAAAGAGCTGAGGTCCTCAGTCTGACAACCAGCAAAGGACTGAATCCTGCCAACACTCACGTGAGCTTAGAAGCAGATTTCTCCTTAGTCTGTCTCATGCTTCTACAACAAAATACCTGAGACTGGGTAATTTATAAAGAATAGAAATTTATTTCTTACCGTTCTGGAGGGTGGGAATTCCAACATCAAAGCAGCATTGGGTTCAATTGTCTGGTGAGGGCTGCTCTCTGCTTCCAAGATGGCACCTTGAACACTGTATCCTCTGGAGGGGAGGAATGCTGGGTCCTCACAAGATACAAGGTGAAGGGGCAAAAAAGAGACCCAACTCCCTCTTTCAAGCCCCTTTAGAAGGGCACCTAATCCCATTTATGTGGGAGGAGTCCTCAAGACCTAAACACCTCTTAAAGTCCTTACCTCTTAATCTATCACATTAGAAACACCTGCGTTAACTCTGCAGCCATAAAAAAGGATGAGTTCATGTCCTTTGCAGGGACATAGATGAAACTGGAAATCATCATTCTCAGCAAACCAACACAACAGAGAACCAAACACCGCATGTTCTCACTCATGGGTGGGAGTTGAACAATGAGAACACATGGGCACAGGGAGGGGAACATAACACACCGGGGCCTGTCGGGGGTTGGGGGTGGGGGTGCTAGGGGAGGGACTGCATTAGGAGAAATACGTAACATAGATGACAGGTTGATGGGTGCATGGCATGTGTATACCTATGTAACAAACCTGCATGTTTTGCACATGTATCCCAGAACTTAAAGTACATATATATATATATATATATTTTTTTTTTTTGCAACCTCTGCCAGCCAGGTTCAAGTGATTTTCCTGCCTCAGCCTCCTGAGTAGCTGGGATTACAGGCGCCTTACACCGCCCCCAGCTAATTTTTGTAGTTTTACTAGAGACAGGGTTTCACCATGTTAGCCAGGCTGGTCTTGAACTCCTGACCTCATGATACACCTGCCTCGGCCTCCCAAAGTGCTGGGATTACAGGCGTGAGCCACCATGCCCAGCCAAAGTATAATTTTTTAAAAAACGAAAAGAGACAGCATGGATAAAGAAAAAAAAGAAAGAAAAGAAACACCTGCGTTAGTTTGCTGATGATAATGGCCTCCAGCTTCATCCATGTTCCTGCAAAGGACATGATCTTGTTTCTTTTTATGGCTGCATAGTATTCTGTGGTGTGTATGTACCACATTTTTAAAAATCCAGTCTATCATTGATGGGCATTTGGGTTGATTAAGGGAACAACACATACTAGGGACTGTCAGGGGAGGGTAGGGGGTGGCGGAGAGCATCGGGAAATATAGCTAAGGCATGCCAGGCGTAATATCTAGGTAACAGGCTGATTGGTGCAGCAAACCACCATGGCACACGTTTATCTATGTAACAAACCTGCACATCCCGCACATGTACCCTGGAACTAATTTTATTTTTTAAAAAAGAAACACCTGAATTTTGGAGAGGACACATTTGAATCATAGCACCTCCTTATCAAACCTTAGGTGAGACTCTATCCCTGGCTGATGCCTTACTTGCAGTTTTCTGAGAGACCCAGAAGCAGAGGGCTCAGATTCTTGATTTCCAGATTCTGGATCCACAGAAACTGTGAAATAATAACTTTGTGTTGCTTCATGTTGCTAAGTTTGTGAAAATTTGTTATACAGAAATAGATAACATATAGTTACAGTAAGTTTTTTTATTCAAATGTAGGAAGTCTAGAATCTCTATTTTAAACCACTATGCTATATTGCCTCTCAAAAAATATTTGTGTGATTAGTGAATCGATGGATGGATGGATAGACATAATGGTAGCCTTTAGAGCCATATTTTAAGATGCTAAAATAACCCTGATCCTTAAACCTGTCAGAGACATTACAAGAAAAAGAAAACATCAGTAAACTCTCTGTCACGAACATAAGTTAAAAAATCCTAAACAAAATATAAGCAAAAGAAATCCAATGAGTCATACAAATATAATACATTATGAACAAGTTGGGTTTATTCCAGGAATATAAGATTGGTTTATCAACTAAAAATCAATAAATTTAAACCACCATATTTATAAAATGAAGCAGAAAAATCATGTGATTATCTCAATAGATGCAGGAAGAGTATTTGATAAAATTATATCTCAATTTGTGATTTTTCAAAGCCCTCTTAGCAAATTTGAAATAGGACAAAATCTATTTCCATTTGTAATGTTTTAAAAAGCTTCAGGAAGAGAAGAGTATCTACATGGAATTATAGGAAATATTATACTTAGTGATAAATGTTGAAGCCTTCACTTGATTTTGGAAACGAGAAAAGGCAGTCCACTATTTCCACTTTACTCATCATAGTAGCAGAAGTTCTAGACAGTGTTAAAGCAAGTAAAAAGAGTGATAAGGAAATGGAGAATTAAAATTCTCAAAATTTGCTGGGGACATGATTACACAAGTGAAAAACAAAAGAATCTATATAGAAGCTATTAGAATTAGTAAAGTGATTTAGCAAGGTTTCTGGATACAAGATAAAGAACTCAATTGTACTTTTATATGTTAGCAAAAAGATATTTAAAAAGGAAATTTAGAATGTAATTTATAAAAGCTCAATACACACAAAAATGCAGGATTAAATTTAATAAAATATGGACAAGGCTGATATAAAAAACGATAAACCTTACTTCATTAGAAATAACCAATTTCACTTATAGAACACCATCACTAGTAATTCACTAGCAGTTCCATTAGAGATATGACAGAGGCCATAACCAACATGACATGAAATACTGAAACACATGCTGAGTTATCCATATGTTTTTTATTATGTTTCTAGCACTTCAAACGTATAGAAAACTGGAAATGATGCAGGTTTTGACTTTTCTTCCATTTCTTCCAGTGGCAATGTGTACTGGTTGCCTAGGAAACTCTTACAGCAGGGGACAGAACTGGCTGTACCATCACCCTGAGCTGGGCATAGTTTTCAGTGGTAGCTTGTTAGTTCTCAGCCCCCACGGAAGGGCACCTGTGCAGCTCTACTTGGTACCAGAGTCAATCATTTCCAAAAAGCAGAGGCTGTATATTTTGCTGTTAGCATTTTGGCAAAAAGAAAGAAGAAAGGGGTTGATGATGGTGACTGAGGAGGAAAGCCTGAGCAGGGGCTGTTGAAGGTAGAACTAAGATGTGCAGGTGATGAGACTGCAGAATACAAAGAATGAGATACTTAAGTAAGCTTACTGACCATTTAACAGCATGCTCTGTGGCACTGCTGGCAGATGGGAATAGGAGTGTTACTCACAAAAGCAACTTGGAAAGTAACTCAGAAAGAGGAGGACATTTTAACTATTATGTGCCAGGGTGTATAACTACAGCACTACATGTCTTTTTAAAAATATTTTTTGTTTGTTTTGTATTCATTACATCAGTTTTTTCTCTCTCGCTCTCTCTTGTCCCACCACCCCCTCAGACTCACACACACACAGAGTAATTATTGTCCTCATGTTTTTTTTTCTTTTATTTTTTTAAAGAGATGGGTCTCTAATGTTGCTCAGGCTGGTCTCAAACTCCTGGGCTCAAGCAATCCTCCCCCGATCAACCTCCCAAGTAGCTGGGACCATAGGCATGAGCCACCATTCCTGGCATGATCATCATTTTAAAGATAGGTAGTGTAAGTTTCAAAAAGGCTAAATGGCTTGCCTAAGGTCACCTAATTATTAAGCAATGAAGTTGGAATTAAATCCCAATCACGGACCTTATAGACCCTTATCAGGCTGTCTCCAAAGCTGGGACATGTTTTGGGACACGGATGGTGGAAAGGGAGGCAAAGGCCACTGCAGAAATAAAAAAAAATGAAAAACTATACCATGCGGACAAATGAGAAGGAAACTGGCAAGGCTGGAATATAGAGGGTGTAGGGCACACAAAGTTTAAAAAGTTATAGGACAAATTAAGAAGGATCTCAAATGCCAAACTGTAGAGCTGGTTTTTACTCTATAACTACACTGTCCATTACAGTCCCTACGCATGGCCATGTAGGTAGTCTGAACTGGCATGGGCTTTGGGCATAAATTGACATAGGATTTCTAAGACTTAATGTGAAAAAAAACCTCATGTAAAATACCTGATTAGTAATTTTTATATTAATTCACATTGACATAATATTTTGGATGTACTGGATTAGAGAAAATATATTATTAAAATTAATTTTACCTTTTTTTAGATTTATTTTTTAATATGGCTTCTAAAAATTTAAAATTACATTTATGGTTCACATTGTATTCCTATTGGTCACTGATGGGATGCATTATAAGGCATGGTGAGGGTAAGGCTGGGACTGGCTGCTGCTGGGACTAAACTTTCCTTACACACACACACACACACACATACACACACACACACACTCTCTCTCTCTTTCTGTCTCTTTCTCTCTCTCTCTTTCTTAACCCCATATTATTATTTTATTATTATTATTTTCAACCTCCAGCCTCCTTAGGAATAGGCCACTCAGGACTCTCATCCCGCTAGGAAAAACTCTGAAATAAAAATAATTTAACCAAACTCTTTTGCAAGAAATAAGGATGGATCCATTTAGCACCCAGGGAGCGTTTACATCTTAAAGAAAAAAGTACCTGTGGGGAACAAAGCAACAACAATGGTTTTGTAAGAAAAATAGGTTTCTAAAGTCTTTACCCCTCCGGAAAGAGCATTCAAGCAGGGAGCTCTGGCTCACAAAATCACAGAGGAGGCAGCCTCATAGCAGTCACCCAGTGACTCACTCTTGTTTGCCCTATGATGCTCCAGCCACTCTGACCTTGATATTTCATATGGTACCAAGAAATTACTCATCTCATCATCAAAATGGCAAACACCAGAAGGCAGCAATCACTCCAAAACTGAGTGGCTTGAGCTGGCTTGCTAGAGTTAGTACAAGAAAGAAAAAAGTAAACAATAAACTCATATTTGATTGTTATTCAGGCTATCCCATTTTAGCTGGGCTTCCACATTTTGGTATACATAAATGTCTTTAGTGTAGATGGATATTTTTCATGGGCGTTCTTTTTCTCTCAGAGATGATGTCGTAGAGCATAAGGTGCATAGGGGACACATGGTCCTAAAGCTTCTTGCAAAAACTGACTTGGAAATCCCTCTATTTAATAAAGGTGGTGAGAGTTGTAAGGCCAGTCAAAGGATGGAGAGGAGCTATTAATTGGATAGTGTGATGCTAAGCAAACAGCACTGGACTGCCAACCAAGAGACCTGGATTCCAGTTCTTGCTGTGCAACCAAGAAGCTGTACAGCCTTGGGGAATTACTAACTCTTCTACACCCTACAGCCCCTCTGTCAGATGAAGATCTTCTAAATTGATGGTGTTCAACCTTTGTTTACCTTCCAGACATGAAAGAGATGAGATACTCCCTACTATAGGCTGAGTGTTTGTTTCTCCTCCAAATTCATATGTTGAAACCTACTTCCCAGTGAGATGGTATAACAGAGGCCCCAGAGACCTCCCTCACCCCTCCTGCCATATGAGGACACAGTGACAAGGCGCCACCTATGAACAAGGAAGTGGGCCTTCACCAGACACTGAATCTGTCAATGCCTTGATCTTGGACTTCCAAGTCTCCTCAACTGTGAAAAATGAATTTCTATTGTTTATAAGCCACCTAGTCTATGGTATTCTTCTTATAGAAGCCCAACAGAATAAGACACTCCATTCAGAAACAGTCGCTTCTAATGAAAAAAAAGATTATGAGCGCCTCCTATTGGCAGGCATTTATTGTGCATTACGGCAGTGATTTTCAGCTGAAGAAACACGAGCCTTGGGCTTCGAAATCTCCAGGTATATAATCTCACTTTTAGAATCATAGAGACTATCTCATTTCTAAGATTTTTTTCTGGTGTTATGAAGATGAAGGAAATCTCTGAGATTCCTTCACCTAGAATTTAATAACAGTACATTCCTTTTCTCCGTTTCTTCTTACTCTCATTTCTCCAATCCATATACCTCATTCTTGGAGACTACTTCCTGATGGTTGTTGATTTGAATAAATCACTGAGGACACTACGCTCCCATGAAGAAAATTTGGTTAAGCCAGTTTAGTCCACAATTTCTCCAGTGTGGCAAAACGATTTTGATTGGGTAGCTTTCTGATACATATTGTTTTCTTCCTGAAGATGTCCTACATTCTAGTACTCTTTAGTCTTGATCCACTAGAAAGAACAGAGTAAATCTATTGTTCATAGTAAATACTCAGCTTTTAAACATTTCACTCTCTTTTGTCATCCCATGTCACTCTGTAATTTTAAATTAGGTCAGCTATCATTTTCTGAACACCTTTTCTATGTAAGATTTTGGAGGAATATAAACCCAATGTGTGAGAAGTGCTGAAAGGTATAGATGCTAGAAGAACAAGACTATAGACCATGACCTGAGGTAATACAAAGTTCATTTTTACACTAAATTTCAGAATATGAAATTTATATTGATCCCATGAAGCTCCATCCATAGCAGGTTCTTGTCTACTAGGTGAATGGCTATTAAAAAGTCAAGAGAAGCTGTAAAATTTCTTGTATTCTTGACAGTCCTCTACAAGGAAGACGAAAAAAAGTGTAATATGTTTCGATCATGAAGTAGTCAGACCTGAAGACTGCATGCTTTTCAAATAACATAGTAACCTAAAAAATCTAGGCTTGCAATAGGTAAGGAAATACCTTGGGTAATATTCACATTGCAAAAATAAAAGAGTTTATTTGTAGCTAGGAATATTAGATAAAACTGCATAAGAAAATATTCTGGCTCTATGATGTTCTTAGGAATTAGTATCTGAGATGGTTTCTGGAAAGCAGGTAGGATTTGGGAAGAGGAGGAGTTGGGACATTTCTACAAAAGGAAATAAAATCAGCAAAACACTATAATCAGAAAGGAGAGGGAAGCCCTGTAAAACAGTTTGTAGACTGGTTTGGCTGGGCAGAGGGGTCAAGCTGAGGTGTAATAAGCAATGTAAATTAAGGACTGGATCTTTGAGTGCTCTGAATGTCAACAGAAAAGATCTATTTTATTACGTAGGGAATACATTTTCTGATTAAGAGAATACCAATTTACTACTGGACCAAAAAACACTGTGTTAGTAGTTGTGCTGTATTAATCATATATTAGGTCACAGAAGAGCAATTTACATCTCAAAATTGGTAGAGACTTTGAAGTTCTTCTACTCCAAAAATAAGCAGTCTTTGCTTGCTTTAGATGGAATAGAGAAATTAGCAAATCAAAGGACTTTAAAAAGGATGAAAGGTATAAAAATAAGGGGGACAGACGCAACAAGAAGGAAAACATAGTATCTATCACTAGAAAGACTCTTGTCTAATTCCTTTTATGGAGCTAGTTGTTAAGTGTGAAAAAAGAAAAAAGGAGTAAATTCCAGCCCTGGGCATCATAAGAGATGTTCCCTCAGCAGCATTTGTACATACGCACATTTGGTTCCTACTTCTGCATATCGACACACCTCTTTAAAGGAAAACAAAATGCCCAAATTACCATTTTTAACTAGTAAGCTCTCTTTCAGTTGAGTTACCCTGTTGCCAAAAACACTCTCTTGCTCTTTTTGGAATTTCAATGTTTTCTTTTTGAGCCCTTTTTACTGGTAGAAGAGATAAGATTTCACAAGCTAATTGGATACGTGCAGCATAACTGTTAAAAGCCTCCCTGTTGAAATCCGTGGAGCTGAAAATACTTTCTTTTTAGCTCTTCTGACAACATGGAAAAAAAAGAGTCTTAGTTTCTAAATGAAACTGCTCAAAGAGAGGAAAAACCTAGTAAAACAAATGGGTAATCCCTCACTGGTTTTCTTAAATGATAAATTAATGAATTTAAAATTCCCCATCCAATTGCTATGATGTGAGTTATTTAATGGTGCAATGGCTCAGAACCCAAGACACCTGGATTACAACACTTGGTTTAGTCATTAATTTTTGCAGGGGGTCGGAGGGGTCGGAAGGGTAGACTTAGACATGTGTTTTTACCTCTCTAAACAACAAGGCTTAGAAAAATGAGGTAAAATTACTTTCTATTTTCTGTTAAAATAATGAGAGACTTGATTCAGAACATGAAAAAAATGAAGAAATTTTGAAGAAAGCTTTCATGTACATGCTGGAGAAATGATTTTTTATAATCTTGTCTAAATAAGTAAGGATATATATGGATGTATAACACAAATACACACAAACATTTAAATAGTGTGTCTTAGTTCTATGAATTTGAAGGCCAAGAAGGACCTCCAGTTTGTTTAAACAGATTGCCATGTTAACTTAACAGAGAGATAGAATCTGGAGATAACTGTATTTACAGATAGGTATGTTATCAGGTCTACTAATTTATAGAAAAGAGTAAATAAGTAGAAGCTTGAAAGGTTATAGAGAAGTTATCTCCATAAAGTATGGGCTGATCAGACGCTTCCAAAGTTTTAAAGCTTGTCTTGACAGGAACATTGTTTTCTTGGAGACCAAACTCATTGATTATAGAATGCTCTTTAAAATCTAAGTGGATTTAAGAAGGAACTGGTGGCTTTTTAATATCCACTTATAAGTGGTTGCAAACACAGATGAACTCCATGTTCTACTAGGAAAAACTGAAAGACAAAGAATTTCCAAAAGCACTGCCAGGTTTCCAGTTGGTTGGTGTCAGGGTGACATTGCACTTCCTTCAGCAGCAGTGATTGAGGAATCATACCAGAGAAATTATACCAGAGAAATAAAATGAGAAAAAAATGAGAGACTTCAAAGAGATGACCAAAAATAAAAAAATTACCTCATGCAAACGCAAACTCTAAAAAGTAGAACCAAATAATATAAAACTATCTTTTCCCTTAAATATAAATGATGCCATCTGCCAAGATATAGAACTTGAGTGATAGAGTCGTTTTTAAACAAAGACCTGGAAACAATTTTTTTTATTTAGTCTCTTTTACACAGCAATTTTTTTTTTCGTATAGTGATGGAGAGGAAAAAAAAGATTTAGTACAAAGCTATGCAGCTTGGAAATAAGATTACTTGGGGATAAGTTTATTCTATTGAAGGGAAACTAGTAAGAATATGCATATAGTGGATGAGACTAGGTACTTAAGAGAGATACTAAGGAATATCCCCCAAAAATGATGTTTCTCAAACTTGATTGTACATTTGAATCCCCTAGGAATCTGGTTAAAATGCAGATTCTAATTTACCAGCTCTGGGATTGGGCTGAGATTCTGCATTTCTACAAAAGCTCCTCAGTGATCCTGATGTTCAGCATCCTTTCACCACATGTTGTTAGAAATAAACAGAAACAATTAAAATTATTAGAATATTCAGCCCCCCAAAATTAACCAATTTATTGGGGCTGAATGGCAGGACTGCTCCACTGTAGAGACAGATGTATCAAGCACCCAGAGTTGGAAGCCACAAACTTTAAGATTATTAAGTTGATTTCCTCTTATCTCATGACATTATACTAACTGCCTTCTGATTATAATTTGATTCCTTGTGCAGGATTTCCTCTAGAGCAAATTGTGCTGGTTAGTCAACCCAGCTCCTACAGGAGGATGACAGTATGGAAAGAGATTGGGCTTTGAATCAGACAGAATAGGATCTGTTAGATATGTTGTTAATGATGATGAGTGGTGAAAACAAGACGAAGAAGATGATGATGATAGTGACAACAGGCATTTTACTGTGTGCCTACCATGTGCCAGATACTGTGCTTTGTGATTTACACATATTAGATCAATTTTATGACTTAATTCTGTCACCCGACAGATAAGAAAACCCAAAGTTATAGAGCTAGTAATGGTCTGTAGAGACTTAAATTCATCACTGTCCAGCTCCAAATTGATTTTCTGTGCTAATATATACATCCCAGCAGGAAAAGAACCTTTCATTATAACTGTTACTAAAGTAGGCACTCAGTAAATGGTAATTATTTGTTCTACTTATTATATAGAGTTTACGTGGTTATATTTGAATCCCTTGTGCATTTGGTTCACATGAGTCAGACTTCATAGCCTTATCAACTTGGATAATACTGACTTCTTGAATCTGTAAAGCTGAGAACTAAACTCCTAATCGTGATAAAGCCACTCCAGGGAGTCTATCTGAGCAATTATTTTACAAATTCAACCCAGATAAATGAAACATTTCTCAGATATTTACACCAAAGAATTATTATTTTTTTCTATCTATAGGTTTTTCCTGAAATTTTTTTATATAAATCCATCCATTTGAGCTTGGCTAGGTATTTTCCTTATAAAGGGAATTTAGGTTTTTCCCTCTTATTTTTAATATAACAATTTCTAAAGTAATTGTTGGAGTCCTATCTCCAATTTACACAGCCAGCTTGAAAGTGGATGTGATGAAAAGCATGTATTGCCAATGGCATTAAACATATGGATCTTAGTGGATGTTGGAAACGGTCAAGCACATACCACAACTTGGCAAAGATCTCATTTCATGAAGGTTATTGTCAATAGCCTTTTGTGATGTCATATCTCTGAAGGATATTGTGTGCCCAAACCAGATATTTGTATATAAAAGACAAGTAGTGATCAAATGGCTCCTCCCATTTGCCTGACTGCTGAAGAGCCCATCCTAAGACAGCAGACAGGCTAAATGAATGGTCACTTACAAAAAGCTAACCATAGAGTGGATAGAGTGAAGATCCAGTTTCAAGTAAATGGACTAAAATATAGAGAAACCAGCTAAGAGTGAGATTTAGCGTGGATGATATTTTCCCCTTAGCCATCTAATAAAAAACTGCAGTGACTTTAATCTAATTCTTGTGCTAAGAAGGCTGAGCATGTCCTGCCAGTTTTTAGTTCAGCCCAGGAAAAGAGAGGTCAGTGTTTCTCTGTCATTATTCAAATCAAATGCACCTTTTTTGGTTTAGCATTTTCTAAGAGGTCTTCTTCTCAAATTTCCATTTGTACAGAACAAAGCTATTTGACTTATTTTGATTATTATTTAGTATGCACATTCTCACTCTAAAGAAATAAGAAACTTTTCAATTAAAAGTACTTTGCCTTTGTGCATGCAAAAAACCTTACGTTGACGTGGTCAGGGCAGAGAAGGGCAGAGAGCTCCACATGGACTGACTAATGGGTACCACAGGGTTCACATGCTTTGACTTTTCTTAAAGTAGTGCAGGGTGGCAGAGTCATGGTGAAAAGACTCACGACTCCTACCACCATCACCTTAAGCTGTCTAGCAGTAGGACAACAATACGTGTCTCTAATGATGATCTGAATTAATAAACAGCAGCCGTAGTTAACCAATAACAAGATAATACATAAACTGAAGTCACTAAGTCCCCTGGGAGGCTTCCTGGTATTATTTGACACCTCTATTTAATTTTACCTATTTCACTTCCCCCTTCTTGTTCCTTTTTACATCCACATACTTGCATTTTTCCTTCTCTCTATATTTGATTTAGTTCGGCAAAGAAATGAATCAGCTGATATTCACAATCTTCTCCTCGCAATATCAAAGTATATACATAGGTAGATTCCGTGAGAGATGAAAAGAAAGTTGTAAAAGCAGTGTAATATACTGGGCAGCCAGTCTGAAGGGGGCATGCTTATCAATACAGAGTCTCCAAAAATTTTTTTTACTCAATCTACTTTTGATGGAGTGCGAGAATTTTTTTTTTTTTTTGACTAGGATTGTACTCCCCTCTGGAAGACTTTATTTTTCAGTCTCTTAAAAATATTCAATGATTGTCATTGCTGATTATACATTAGATTCATATAAGGACATTTAAAAAATAAGAACATCTGAGATTCATGTAGCATCTTTTGAATCAAACTCTAAAGGGTTTGGGGCAGGGCATCTGTATTTTGAAAAGGCACTACAGGTAATTCTGGAAGGTGACTAGGACAGAGAATGATTTGCTGTTTCAAAATGAATTCCTTGTTCTAAGCTGATCGTAACACTACATAAAGCTTGGCCTTAAAAGAAGGCTCAGCAAACTAACACAGGAACAGAAAACCAAACACCACATGTTCTCGCTCATAAGTGGGAGTTGAACAATGAGAACACATGGACACAGGGAAGGAAACGTCACACACCAGGGCCTGTTGAGGGGTTGGGGGCTAGGGGAGGGATAGCATTAGGAGAAATACCTAACGTAGACGATGGGTTGATGGGTGCAGCAAACCAACATGGCAAGTGTATACCTCTGTAAAAAACCTGCACGTTCTGTACATGTATCTCAGAACTTAAAGTATAATAAATAAATAAAAAAAATACAGTTTCAATGTTTTTCCTTAAAAGTATAATTTAAAATCAAAGCCACTTTTATATAATGCTAGGTGTTAGTATTATGGAATAAATGGTGGTCAATATTGTCAAAATCAATGACCTTTTTATAATTTCCTTAATCAACAATATATTAAAGGATACTATGGCATTATGTTTTTCTAAAAATTTAATGAATATATATTTACATTTACTATCCAAAAAAAAAGAAGACTCACATAAAAGTTTAAAAAGAAGCCATGATGCATATTAAAGAAAATTTGGTTTTCCTGGAAAAGTCATACACTTTTATGAACACATAGAAAACTTTAATATTTTTATATGGCTCCATGTCTTAAATATCTAGTCTAACTTAGGAGGCTGAGACTGGAGGATCCCTTGAGCCCAGGAGATCAAGGCTGGGAAGAGCTATGATCATGCCACTGTACTCCAGCTTGAGCAACAGAGTGAGACCCTGTCTCAAAAACAAACAAAAGCAAAAAAAAATCTTGTCTACCTTTCAGTTGCATGCCAATTAAGGACTAGATGTCCAAAATGTAAATCCACTTCACAATTATGTAACCCTTATACTTAATTTTTATTTCAGTTTTTTTAATAACTTACTCTTGCTATAGAAACAGAAAAGTGACCATGTAAACTTATGAACTTGTTAAAACAGATCTAAGATTTCTAAATAATGCTATGTTTCCAGAAAAATATCTAGCTTACAAGAAAATTTGAGGCAAAACTAGAAATCAATTAATGCAATTTCAATAGATTGATTAGAATTAATGAAATCATATAAAAATAAGTTTTGAAGGTGATTGTTACCACTAAAAATCCAACATAGGTAATAATAATATGCAGTGTTTCTGCTTGCACTTCTGTTCCTAGAATGACTTACATCAGAGATTCTGCCTTAATAAGAACAAGCAGTGGCTAATAGGTAATAATTTGGCATTTCAGAAGTAACTGTATGATCATTATCATGCATGAGATAGGTTTAACCTAGATAACTGTTAACTACTCCTAATTCAGAGATGCTAAGAAGAAAAAACCTCTTAAATTTTTCACCATGGACCTGAGAGCTCTCAATAATTTCATGAACAAGATTTCAAAAACATCTTACTAGTAATTTAATGAATTACGTAGACCATGACTCAGAGGCTGGAGCAATTCTCAGCCAATATTTTACTAATTTAAGTTGGATAGGGTTTTCTCTTATGTGGGTGTCAATTAAGTTGTACTTGGTACAAAGATAGAGTAGAGCAAAACAACAATTACAAATGCCAAGCGAGTATAATCATGGTACCTATACTGTTAAACAAGGTTTAATGAGATAATATAGGGAAAGTCTGTATAGCGGTTCATGCCATGTAGCATGGGCTAAATAAATGCTAATGAGGATGGCAGTGACGTTAGTGGTGGCAGTGGCACCTGTGGAGGTTAAAACCTTGTTTGGGGAGTCTTTTGTCTTGGACATCATATACCAAAAAATTGTCTATACATTTCCAGCAATAAGACACGCCAGAATTGTATTTATTTATTATATTATTTAAAAGACTATTCCTTTTTACTGGAGCTGAGAATACTGATAAGTGCCCTTAAATATACTATAGCTCCAATGACACATTTTCCTTAACTTCATTTACTCAATATTTTAAATGAGCCATAATCTGCTCTTCACTAGTTTCTTAGAGTGAAAAATGCCTGAGTGGTTGGTTATTTTGCTAGACCATGGTTTGATGACATAGCAAATTGACTTGTTCAGAGACAAATCTCACCTCTATGGCCATAGCTTATCATGAAATGTGTTGCCTGCTCTAAAACAAGAGGACCAAGCAAGAGTATGTGGATGGCTCAACCACCTACTACTAAAGGAAACAACTTAAAGTGTGCGGAAGGTCAATGGCATTCATCTCTAAATAGGAAAAATAACTATAAAGACAAAAGCGTTACAAGCCTGTGGGTAGTACAGTAATAATTATGTACTCTGCAGGGAATTTTACAGCTCAGAAATAATCTCTTATTTATATCTTTATTTCACCCTCTCACTAGCCTATGATATTGATAAGGCAGCTATCACTATCTGAATTGCCAAGTAAGTAAACTGAAAATCAGAACATTTAAATTATTTGTCCTGAAATAATGGAGTTTAACAAGAGGCAGAGCTAGAACTTGAAAACAAATTCTGCTTCTACTCCAACATTCCCCTTATATCAGTTGAATTCACTTAAAATGACTGAACAGTTTATATGCTGGAGGCTGATGTCTTTTATAACTTCTTTGTTAGAATTAGAAAGCCCCTATGTGCATAAGTTTACCTGTACAAGGTCATAAACACAGAAGGCAGGCAAAATTGAGATCAGATTTCTGCTTCCCAGGCCTGATGCTGCATAATGTAACAGTGAATTCATACATCTCCAGTATCAGCAGGTGCATTCATGGATTCCTTAACACCTCCTATAGCTGGTGCCCCTACAGCTCAAATTTATGAAAAGCAGTGTTCCAAAAGACATCTTGGAAAGTGTCAACGATCTAATTAGCTTTAATAAAACTACCATAATTCTCAACTAACATTTTCCCTCATTATGGGGGTTGTAGTATTTCCATCAGGATACCCCAGAAACCCCTGAGCAATTTTCTGAAGACTTAAAAATACCCTTGTCATTCAGTGGGAGAAGCAGAATTCTGAAAGTTAGAGTTTACTCTGTATCTTGGAAATTCCAGGCTAGCTCTCTGGCCCAGAATTTAATACCAGTCTGACATATCTGCATTAAAGAACTAGTTCTATAAATTATTTTGATCATCAAAAGTAGAGTTCTTTTCCCATCTGGTCTTTTGGTGTATTCATTCCTCCCCTCCTTGCTTTTTACACACCTGCCTCATACTTTATGCCATTCATCTTTTTTCTCTCAAGTTCTAATTGAGCCATATGATTATTTACAGCAAGGAAAGTCTCACTCCTAATGCTAAAACATAGTCAGCCATGATGGCAGAAACCAAGTACTCCCTTTTTTTTACTGGTAAAGATGTTTCATTTCTTTAAAAATAAAATGAGGCCTATTTTTCTTTTAAATAAATCTGAATTCAATAAAATTAGTAAAGTCATAGTTCATTTACATATATGACTGTTAATAATAATAATGGACCCTGTATACACACACACACACACGCACACACACACAAATGACTGGCCAAGTAACCCAAGCTGAGCTGGCTACATGGCCTCTGAGAATACAGGTAATCTATGTATCTCTAGTTTGTTTTCCCATCCATCAGAGGAAGCAGTGCTTTTTAGTGAGGACTATTAAAGTGGCTAAAGAGGTCTAACCATAAAACTTTTCAATTCTAAGGCTACCTTTAACTAAAATTTTAACTTAAATAATTATAATATGTATTGTCTTCACTAGAATACAGTTAGTCTTCAAAAGGATTTTATTTGCAGGAAAAAATAGGCTTAGAATAATGGTATAAGAACTAATTTCAGATGAACCCTTTAGTCATTTTAAAAAGAAACATGCATAATCTTCTAAAACCATTAATAAAGTATCCTGGCCACTTTCCAATATCAACTGAAATTTTAGGCAATAATCCATATAAATTTATAGTCATTTCAACAGATCTAAATTAGACTTCTAAAACTTAAGTCACACCTTCACATGCAGGAAAAATCTACAAAATCCACACCCCCCCCCCCAATAAATAACGTTTTATTTATAAAACTAAGATGGAGGTTTTAAACTAAAGGAAAACTTGATTCTTAAAGCTGTCCTTTTAAATAATATTTGCAAAAATTGCATATTTTACAGCATTATGGTAACACAGTTAAAGACCCACATCCATAGTGAACAAGAGTCTATGACAGTATTCCAAATTAGCTAACTTAGGCTTTAAAGGCCAAAGTAAATTTTAACTCTCCCATCCAGTAATCTTCCATCTGGACTCCCAGGTGATTATCTTCTTCTGGTTATAACCTGTAAAATGACTATCAGCCTCCTCCTTGTCTCTTCTCTTTCTATTATACTACAAGCTCTCTGAAAACAGTGGACATATCTTGTTTACTATTTAGTCCCCAGAATTATAGTTTTCAGTTTCTCCTTTGCCAGTTGTAGCAGACTATATTTTCTAAAGACAGATTCACCAGTATATATTCCAGACTGCCTGGTCTTATTGCATGGAACACTGACATTCCTTTAGACCCTGTCATTCCTTGACACTTGAGAGTTGTGTCTGTCTACTCCTATCCCCTAACCTGAGTGAACATTTGTAATTGCTTCAATCAGTAGAATATGGCAAAAGTCATAGTGTGTGAGTTTTGAGGCTAGGTCATAAAAGGCATTGCCTTGGTATCTTGGATTGCTCTCTCTGAATAAGAGGCCTCCATGGAGGGAAATGAGACCCTCTGCCAACAGCACCTATTTGCCACATGAGTGAGCTACCTTGGAAATAGATCCTCCAGTCTCAGTCAAGACTCAAGTAACTATTGCTCCAGCCAGCACCTGACTACAATCTCATGACCCCCTCAGCTGAGCATTTCACAAATTCCCGACCTAAAGAAACCATGAAAAATAAGAAATGGTTATGGCTGTTTTAAGCCACTAAGTTTTGGCGTAATTTATTATGAAACAATGGATAAATAACCTTTTAAAAGTTTTGTAACTTAAAAAAAAATCTAGAAATCCCTAATATGTAAAATAAAATGTATTGAACAGTAATGAAAACTTAGCATTTACCAAAATGCCTTATAAACAGCATGGGTTATATTTTATTTCCAAATATTAAAGCATATTTCAAGAGTTTTTAAAGTATTTCATTTTATAGTCATTTAGGTAACTTCTAGATTGAATGCTGGGCTTAGACAAAGCTCTCTTAGGGCTATAATATATCAAAGGAGGAATTATATAGAAATTTTTTTTCTCATTAAAGTTGTAGTGAAAGACTATGAAATGGGAAAAAGAACCCTAATGACTATGGGATATGACCACTAACATCAATTTCCCATGCAAAGCATAACATATAAGGCTTGATGTTTTATTCTCGTCAATAGTTTCTGAAAGGTGGAGAAAAAGGATTTTACAGATGAAAATCAATAAGAGTTGCCTTAACTGAATGTCCGTCATTGACACTGAGCTGGCAGGTAGAGAGATTCTGCCAAAAGATTTCAGAGAAGGGTGTGCAGCCTCCTCAGTTGTTGTTCCATGTCTCCTAATCGAGTCACCCTTGATGAGAGAGTGGTATTTCCAACAGAAGGCAAATGAGCCAAGACAGAAGCTGCTTTCCCTCTCAGGGAAGTTAAGCAATCTTAAACCAATCAATACTACTTCCTTGGTCATAGACATTTATAACAGATTTCCTTTAATCCAAAGGGTTTAGGTTCCTTCAACAGACCTCAGAAAGAGACTGCTAAGCCTAAAAATCTACTTGCCTACTTGCAATGACTGAAAGACCTTCCTCTCATTTCTCACCTGCTGCCATGTATGTCTATACCCATTACACTTCTTGCTAAGTGCCATTCTAATAGAAAGCAGGCTAATTGAAGTCAGAAAATATTTATCTAGCTCCTGCCATTTCCAGCCACTGTACTACATCCTGGGCCACCACAGTTATTAAAACAATCTCTTCCCTTAACAACCACTTACGGAGAGTCCACCACATGCTAGGTGCTAACAGCACAATGGGAATAAAAATAAGAGCTCCTACACATTTAAGGGATGTATAGCCTAATAGAGAGGATAGATGTGCCTAGAAAAATTCCCAATTATAAACCAATAGTTCAGCGATAGAGGTATGTATATGGTGCAATGGGAGTCAGGCAATTGCCCATGGCTGGCTAGAAATAGAGGATGAAAAGAGTCAAATAAATTTACTTGGGAAAGAAAGCATTTATTTAAAGTTTATAGTAAAAAGCAGAATTAGAGACACATGTTCAAGATACAGGAGTTGACCAAAGGTGAAGTAGGGGGAAATGTCAACAGAAGAGGCTACAGATGACACTTGAGTTGTGCTTTAAAGTACAAATAATAGTTCAAAAGGCAGAAGCAGCAGAGGAAAAAGAGTAGGGGAGGGAGACAGAATTCTAGTGGAGGAGCGGGGAGCACAGAGACATGAAAGTGCAGCATCTTTTAGTCTAGAATATTCAGAAAATCATGAGAAGTTTAGGGCCAATAGCATAAAGAATGATTTATTCTGTTTACAAATAGCCTTTCATGGGCAGATAACTATAGCATGGACAATCTTTGAGTGCAAAATGTAAGCTGACTTTTCTGTCTTGGACCTCATAGATTTTTCTCCCTGAGCATGGGCTACATATACAATTGTTTGAATCAGAGCAGTGACATTACAAACTGGTTCCATTAAAAAAGAAGAAAAAAGAAAAAGAAGAAGAAACAGAATCACACTTGCTCTGGCAGTATTTTCATCAACCATTCTGGTTCACCTACATTCTCTTACTAGAATCCTCTGTTTTCCTTTACAGTGATCTTTGCCACTAATACAGTAGCAAAGCTTTAAAATAAAACTCTGGAGGTGTGCACCATGCAGCTTTTGCCTAATAAGGTGAATTCTATGATGGGAGGAAAAATGTTATTGTCATAGCAAATACAGGACTTAAAAATGTGCAGGTTTAGCAGGATCTGTCTATATAAAGAAGTGCTAACATTAGCAGTGCTGTAGCTCAGGCTTTTCCCACCCTTTTTCCTGCAGAAAGAATCTGCAATACTCTGTGAAAACATGGGTGTCAAGAAGATCCCATTCACAACATAAATGCGATGGTGGCATCCACACTCGCTTCTACTACTATCATTGGGAATATTTGCAAAGACAACATTCATCAAAGACCAGCCACCCACATTAAAAATCCTAGGCAATTTTTAATTTATCTTATAATTAAATAGCCTTTATAAACAAATTCATGACCCCACTTTATTTTTCCAACTTCCACTAGACAGTCTTTCATGAATGAAAAAAAAATCTGGGTGGGCATCCTTTCTAACAACTGAGAAGAGGTAGGGAGGACCTGTCAAACACGCTAAGTTATCGCGATGGTTACATCTTCACTGTGGCTATTAGATTTCTTTTCAGAAAAGGGAAAAAGCAACAATAAAAGCTTTTCTCTGGTTAATGTTTCAACTTTGATTTAATTTTGGTATTCATGAAAAGAAGCACAGTGTGGGGGAGAAAGAGCTGCAGAATACAAAGGATATTTCTATTAGGAACCTACAGAATAGTCTTGAACAAGTCACCGTATATGTGATCCTAGTTTCTCTTCTGCAAAGTCTGAAAAATCATCCTTTAAAAATATTCAAAGGAACTTAAAACAGTGTAAGTTACTTAACATTTCCAGGGTGTTGTCAAAGAAGGAATAAAAAGCTAAAAGATTAAGGGATTCTTGAATTTTGTATTACGTACCTCTAAAA